>NC_000002.12:153247193-153550224 GCF_000001405.40 Homo sapiens | reverse complement strand
CCAAGATTGTTTTTACATGTCAACATGCAAATATGTATGGAAATAACACAGATAATAGAATAAGAAATCTCTTTGCTGCTAGATAGCTGCCATCTTGTGAAGCCAGGCTCTTAAATGGTATTCTAGGAAACAGGGAGCAGAAAGGAATGACCTCCATGTCTTTCAGTCAATATCTTCCTCTTTGGCACAAGATCAGGTGTGCATTTGGACCTATCCCATGAAATCTCTTAGCTATTGCTACGGTAGCTTAGAGGTCAGGCTTTTATTAATTCAGAAGACAACCAAGCTAGAAAGATCTTCAAAAAACCAAGGATGGAAATGAAAAGGAGGATATAAAGAAGACAAGAAGAAAGTTCTGGTCAGACGCTGCCAGATATTTTACTTTTTCTTGTTTTTAATATGGTCATCAGCAAAATCCCACTAAGAAATGGCATCTAGTCCACTAAATAGGACCTTACTATGTAACCAACAACCACAGAACTTAGTCATTTAATAGAATCATTTATTTTCTCAGGAGCCCATGGGTAGGCAATTTATACTAGGCTCTGCATGAAAAGCTTGTTGCTAAGCCCATTCTTGTATTTGGCCTCTGACACTGTGAGGGTTAGGGAAGCTGAGACTCCCCCATGGTCCCTCTTACCATGCTTGATCATATGGCTACAGTTTTCTAAGAAAGTGAGAATGCAAGCCACAATTTCTCTTGGAGCTCTCACACATCCAATCTACCACATTCTGTGGGTCAAAGCAAGTCATGAGGCCATCTCAGTTTCAAGGAGAAAGGAAATAAGCTCTACCTCTTGAGGTGAGGAATCACAAATAATTTATTTCTATTTCAGTCTACCGTTGACCTATCCTTTAAAACTGCATTCCTTAAAAAAACAGTTAAATAATACGGGAACTTTACTGTTCTCAAGTATTTTGTGTAAAGATTGAAAGCTACGGAAGCATTGAGCACTTGATATACTTTTGTTTTGAAATTCCCATTTTAACGTGTGCAGTTCAGTGGTTTTTAGTATGTTCACGTGATTGTGCAAACATCATTACTATCTAATTTTAGAACATTATCACCCCAAAAAGAAACCCCTACCCATCATCAGTCACTCCATATTCCCCTCTTTCCTTAACCCCTGGCAACCGCTAATCTATTTTGTGTCTCTATGGATTTCCCTTTTCTGGACATTTTATAGAAATTAAGTCGTATACTATGTAGCCTCTTGTGTCTGGCTTCTTTTACTTGGCATAATGTTTTCAAAGGTCGTTCATATTATAACATGTATAAGTACTTTATTTCTGTGAATAATGTTTCACTGTATGACTACACCAAATTTTTAATCTGCTCAATCAACATTTGGGTTATTTCCACTTCGGGAGTGTTATGAATCATGCTGTTATGAACATTTGTGTACAAGTTTTCACGTGAGCATATGTTTTCAGTTGTCATGGGTATACACTTGGAAGTGGGATTGCTGAGTCTTGATATACTATTATACCCAGGATTTCTCATGATGTGCATGTCTGACTGAACCATACCATGTGTTTTATACACTCAGATAAAGAGACTGGAATAAGTCAATTTTGGTATATGTTTCTGGTAGCATAGGTCAGATGAAAAGTGTCAGGGGCCTTTATACCAAAAAGCTTAAAGTCATCACTGTAGTCTAAGGTAGTTAGGTCAGAAAGATTCACTGGAAGCAAAAGCCAGAAGACAGTGGCTCCTGTTCGGGTGTCTCTCAAAGCTCTGCACACTCTACTACTCACGTTAAGTATATTTGACAATAAACGAAGCATTTCCCTTAATATCTTTTGGTTTATTAATATACCTCATCAGTTGAGATAACTGACATCCCCTATTGTTTGGAGACACACATTTTGCTTAATATTGGCCTGTAGTGGCAAGTCTTACTATTTTGCTTACTATTGTCAAAGCATGGTGTTTTATTATGATCCACGGAGCAGATCAACATTGCTGGCATCACCTGTGAGCTTCTTAGAAATGCAGGGTGTCAGGCCCCACTCCAGATCTACTGAATAAGAACTTGCATTTTAACAAGTTCCCCAAGGACTTTTGTGCACAGAAAAATTTGAAAGGCAATGCCATATAGCAAACTTAATTCATCGAGCTGTTACAGAATTTAAAGCTGGAGGCTCAGACATTTAATCAAAATCTTCCTGTGAGAATATGGACATTAAATAATATTATTACCAATAATACACAGAAAGCAATTATTGGATGTCAACTACATTTCAGGAACTATGCCAAGTGCTTTCCAAGCATTATCTCTTTCCATTTTTACAGCAATCAAGTACTTTTTGCCCCACTTATGGATATCAAAACCAGGGCTCAAAACTCAAGCTATTTGCCAAAAGTCAAGAGTAAGTGCTTTTAAGAGTAAAAGCCAGGAGTCAAACCCCAGTTTGCCTAATTTCAGAGCCCAAGTTCCTTAACACTATCTTATCTTGCCCAGTAATATTTGCAAATAACATCCTCATAATCTAATTCATGAAAAAGAAAACAAGATCTACTCTATATAATTTCTAAACTTACTTAACTCATTACATGTGTTCTTACCTATTCATGAGAACATAAGCTCCAAGAGGGTGGGAATTTTTGACATTGTCACTGGTATATCCTCACTATCTAGATCAGTACATAATAAACTGTCATTAATTTTATTGAATGAGAAAATTATTTTATATATTAAGACTCTACCTGTGGCTTATGAAAATGAATAAAATTTCATCTTTACTGATTTCTCTTCCAATTTCTCAGCCTTGGATTTTACCTGTAGTATGAATGCTAATGGCTGGTTTGCTGTGGCACTGATGAATTTATCTTCAATGAAAATAGAAGTAATATTGTGTTATACATCAGCAGTAACTCCTTAGAATACCATCTTATCACAGAGTATTTCGACATAGTACAACCTTGAAGGAGCTGTGTTTGTGGCTAAAAAGGTATCTTCTCAGTTGTTTTATTAGAAAACAATAGTCTGGAAACATCGGTTTGGGCCTAGCACATGGGTGCATTTTGTAAGAACTGAAAATATGCAGTACAATGGTGACAAAATATGCATTGAGAAAAGTTAAGATGTATTTTTCAAAGGACTAATAGTGCAGGAAATTCTTGAAACCAAACATTCTACTTCATCCATCTTGTACATGATTATTTTACAGTGGAACCACTTGTTATTCACCTCCATTCCATTAGGCAACCAAATTACATGCCAAGCTAGCTTTATAAATAGAACTCAGAGTAGGTGGGCCATAGCCAGAGGAAAACAAAGAATAAATTCATTTATATAATCTCATCTCTCAGAATAGAAATTGTTTTCTATTTATATAGAGAGGAATTGTCAGAATTAGACAGAGGTAGGAAAGGGGGCAATTATTCAAAAAGACTTAGGAAAACACAGAAGACCTTCAGTACTTCTTTAATACAACAAAAGTATATAAATCTGTATCAGACATGCTGAAAATTACATTGTGGTTATTGAGGCAATATACACACAGATTTATTGACAAGGTATTTTGCATCTAATGCTAACACAAAACTTGATGTGCACACAGTCTTATTGGCATTAATATTGTACTTGATATCGTACTTGGCTGTGGACAGTGACTAAGTAGATAATGAGGTGAAGTAGAGCATCTAATCTTGTCTGACACCTGACAAGAAGCGGGGCACACTTGGACACACAAAGGGTAGATGTTCTAACTAATCCTTTCATAAAATTTTACAAACTTGCCTCCAATGTCTCAAATACAATATATGCTCATATTTCAGTAGGAAAACACCTACAAGATCAGCTACATAATTTGCAGGGCCCAGTCAGTGCAAAATGAAAATGTGAGGCTTTTTTCAGAATCCAGGGGATGAAAATGATTTTAAAAGTACAGAAATACAAAGTTTTTTCCTCTCTTCTTCAATCATTCTTCCAACTTGTCACAGCGTTTTAATGTTTTCCATTTAATTTCATTCTAAGCAAATAATTACTTATCAATTTTAAATTGGCGAGAATACTATCATTTGTCTTTATTTGATGAAATGCCAGTTTTAAATGCAATTTTCAGATCTTATTAGGAATCACTGAAAAATTGAGATTATGTATTTTGTGGCTTATCTCCTGAGGGTGCAAGGAGCTGGCCAGAAGAGAAAAACATAGCCAGATTCAGGATGGTGGGAATGAGGAAGAGAGTATCTTCCAAGGTCAGCTTGGAATACTCAGAGGGCATGTGCCGAACCACAGGGCTGGTGAGGGCCCTCCCCACATTACAGGGCTCTGGAACCTGACTACAGCTGGGTTCCATTTCCTGTCAGCCACTGGATCCACGTACTTTGCCCTGACCAGGGCAGAAAAGTTGAGCTAGGCATATCCTCTTGCCAGGGGCATTGCAACCTCCATGTTGGGTGCCTGGATTGGGGGTGGGTAAGAGACTTCTGTAGTGTGGCCAGACCAGAGTTGGGACAGATCCCACTATGACTCTCTCCCTAGATATTGGGGCATAACCTCAACCCTTGCTATACCCACACTCTCTCTGGGGTCAAGGTGACCCCTGTGGCCAAGTGGGGTCCAGAGTACCAAGTGGTAGGAAAGTTGATAGCCTAGAATCTATCCCTCGGGCTGCTGGGCCTTGCATACTGCATACATCCTAGACCTGCTTACTTAACACATCCCTTCTGTAGAAGCAGCCAGGGTACAGACTGCTGCTTGCCCTCCAATATCCATTCTCCTCTTGTTTAATAACAATAGAACTCTCAACTTTTAGCTGTGGACCAAGACAAAGCAGGCATTTTCTCCAACAGTCTTGCAACTGAGTATGCTGTGTGACTGAGTCGTGGCTAAGATGTGTACATGGAATCAACATGTGTGGCAGCAGTACACATCCTCTGCCTCATTCTCCTTGCTCTTTCCTTCTGCTATGGAGAACACGGAAGTAAAATCTGGAGCTCCAGATATTGTTATCTTGAACCTTGAGAAGAAGGGCCATATCTCAGAAATGGCTGAGCAGGAGCTTAACAAATTAAGTTTTCACCTCACCGGCTGTGGACTGCCACCACCAGACTTAAGAGAAAGAGACACAGACATCTAACTGGGTTAAGCGCTCCTTTTTTTTTTCTGAGTCTTTGCTACTCAAAGCCAAATCATAATCCTAAAATTAGGAGAAAAATTATAATCTGATTTTATGCTATTTCACTCACTACTAGTCCTTATTCAGAGAACATTGATCCAACTCCAAGACCTCTTTTCATTTCTACCCCTCCCTTACGAATGTTTGCTCTTAAGCTGTTGGAAGAGGATATCCCTCAATGTTTGCATTCTATCTGTCATGGCTTTATTTTACCATACTTAAAATGATTATAACCGATTTTGTTAACTTAAGATTCCATTCCTTTTCTGCAAAGAGGTAACAATTGCTGACCATTTAAAAATAACTACATACTTCAGTATTATATAATCTCTACCATGATTAAAACATTGAGTTCTCAGCTACAGAACACTGTATTCTTGTATCATATTAGAAATTGTTAAAAATAGTTTTCCAAGTCAATTCTAAATAAATAGAGAAATCTTACCTGAATCATGGGTTCCTACCTAAATTGGACAAAAATTTTTCTTAGTTTTCCTCAATTTGCCTCATTCAGATCATTTTGTAAGTGATCTTTTAAGAATTAAATTGATTCTCCACTTTGTGGATGATAGAAGGAAATAATATACCAAATTGACATGTGTTCAAGTATTCAAGTAATTAAAACATTAAATTCCTGACAAGTGAAAGGAACAAAGACATCATGCAATGCTTGTATTATGATCAACCTGTTAAGAATGGTTGTAAATGTTACCAGTTCCCACAGACATGAGTTGTTAGCAAGGAGAGATCAAGAAGCAACGGAAGAAAGTTATGGCCACTGGATAGAATTATTTTTCCTTGGATATTGAGGATTTAGGGAAATTGTTAATAATAACAATCAGCAGAGGTTTTATAACTCATGCAGCAACCGTATATTCAGTGTTTATTTCTTAAATCTTACTATGCCAAAACTTATTTGGATTTATGACCCAGAAATCATACATTTCTGTATTTATTTTTTCCATCTTTCTCTGTACGTTGTGCTGATGATCGATCACCAGGCAGAGGAAGATAAAACTCTGAATATTTATGTGGAGCACAGGAAAGGTCCCTGCTGTGAGCTATTAGCTCAGCTGATGACGTGTGCTCCCAGTTGGAATCTGAAGGGATGGTAGGAGCACTGCTGCAGCCCTTTATAAACGGCACATAAAAAGCACCTGTTTGCCTGCTTCATTACACTTCTAATGAACGCCTCCAGGGAGCAGAAGTGGGGAACTACTTTCCTGCTATAAATAGAGAAAGGTATTTAAAAGTTCTCATTTAAATGTGAGTACTGTTATCAGTAACAATTTGCAATAATGTAATACCCCTCAGGAATATAAATGAGTCAGTAGTTGCATGTATTCGTAAGGTGACCTATAGCAGGAAGACGGTTTCTTGTACTGTTTTGACAATTTTGTTTTCCCAGAAGATCTGAGTCACAGGCATTTATTGAGTTTTCTTAAGCTTTCTCTACCTAACTCCTGCTCAACCAAGAAAAAAAGGCTCAGTTCAGCCACCACCTCTTCTGAGAAACTTTCTGAAGCATTCCATCTCCCTAACATGTATAAACACACACTCCATTAAGAATGCAGAATGTGTTCTTATGTATAATTATCAATTTATATAATTTACATTACAAGATCACAAATGCTTTAATAAAGGTTTATGACCTTGTAATATAATTATAAATTTATTTTTGCTACTTCTAGAGAAAGATAGCATCTTATTTTTCACTGAGTCTCTAGCTCTTCTAAATGGGCTGGTCACAGGGCATGCACTCAACAGTAAGATGTAGGCAGGTACAATAAACACAAGAATTATTGTCTTCCTTCAGCTTCTGTGAGATGATTCTTCTCTGGCCATTCCTTCTCAGTCTCCTTTGTGGTCTCCATTTCCTCTGTTCAACTGTTCAACCAATCTTATATATGGGTATTGCCAAGCATTCACCTCCAACCTTATAGTATTTCCACTCAACAGATTATTTCTGGGCAACCTCATCTACAAACTTGTTTTAAAGCAGAGGCTTCCAAATTGCAGCTTCCAAGGCAATCAATGGGGCGTGGAAAGAAATTATCAAAACTTCTATTTACAGATATATTTTTATCTCAGCCTTTTAAAATTTCTATTTATAATATGCATTGCACACAAAATCATATAAGTCATTATAAATACATGTAAAGTTGGTTACATGCTCAAAATTTTATTAGATGTGTACTTTTATTGATGAGATATAGCATATATAAAATATATATGACTGCCTCCACAAGCAATGGGGTAGAAGTCGAATTCATGCTCACCAAATCTGTTGGTCTTGACAAAGATTCTTTGCTTGACCAAACTTTTGTCAGATTCCTGAAACTTCTCCTAGGCCTAGCTATGCAACTTCTTGCAAGTTTCAGTTTTCAACAAAAACCTTGATAGGGTTGTTTAGCCAGAATCCCCCATCCTTCATATCTGATCACCCTCAATAGCTAGTTGGGTTCTTCATCCTCTACCATCCCTCAAGTGATGTCTGATCACCCTGGCCTGTCTTCAGCAAGAATCCTGTTAGTTCAGTTTAATCAAAATATTCCTTACCCCTGATGTTTCCTCTTCATAATTTTCCATCTACTGATCCCCAACTTGGCCCCTTGCTATAAATTCCTAGTTGCTCAAGCTGTATTCAGAACTGAGACCCATTCTATACTTAAATCTCTTTTCTCCTATTGCAATAGTCCTGAATAAAATGTGCTTCTACTTCCGGTTTTTTTTTTGTGTGTGTGTGTGTTTGTTTGTTTGTTTGTTTGTTTTTTGAGATGGAGTTTTGCTCTTATTGCCCAGGTTGGAGTGCAATGGCATGATCTCAGCTCACTGCAACCTCCACCTCCTGGGTTCAAGTGATTCTCCTGCCTCAGCCTCCCAAGTAGCTGGGATTACAGACCTGTGCCACCACGACTGGCTAATTTTTTTGTATTTTTAGTAGAGATGGGGTTTCAACATGTTGGCCAGACTGGTCTTGAACTCCTGACATCAGGTGTTCCACCCGCCTCAGCCTCCCAAAATGCTGGGTTTACAGGGGTGAGCCACTGTACCCGGCCTTTAATTACTGTTCAGCTCTAGTATTCGTTTGCAACTTGTCAGGGCCAAGAGAAAATATCCCCTTCACCCTTTGAAGGTTCATTTAAAAATTACTGACTAGAGGCAGATGGATAGGAGAAAAGGCATAGAAATGTATTTGATCATAGTTTCATATAACACAAGAGCTTTCAGAATGAAGGCCCAAAGATACAGGGGAAATTGTCCATTTTTATGCTTATGTTCAACAAACTATGGGCAACTGTATAGAAATACGTTGAACAAAAAAGCTAATGCTAATAACTGAGTGGGGAAACCAAGCAAGCCCTGTCCAGCTAGATTCTTCCTGTTTTCTCTAAGCATGTATTCCCCTCCTTTCTGAGGTTAAGCCAGGACACCCTCTGGAATGAAGGTCTTATGGCCTACAATCAAACAAGGTAGATCAGATAATTTATTTATGACCAGTTTTTACACAGAAACGCAGGGGAGAAGGTTAGAGTAATAATTGTAGGTTTTATGACTGGCTTTGGGGAAAGGTGTTCTGGTTTCTATGACCCACACTGGAGAAGAAGGATTCTAGTTTCTATGGTGCCTTGAGAAAGAAGAGAAATGAGAGACAGGAGGGCAAGAGAAAGTCAGTCGATTAGTCCATTCTCACCCTGCTATAAAGAACTGTCTGAGACTCGGTAATTTATAAAGGAAAGAGATTTGATTGACTCACAGGTCAGCAGGATTAGGGAAGCCTCAGGAAACTTACAATCATGGCAGAAGAGGAAGCAAACACATCCTTCCTTCACATGGTGGCAGGAAGGAGAAGTGCAGAGCAAAGGAGGGAAAAGCCCCTTATACAACCATCAGATCTCATGAGAATTCACTCTCTATCATGATAACAGGGTGGGGGAACAACACCTATGATCTAATCACCTCCCACTGGGTCCCTCCCACAACACCTGGGGATTATAGGAGCTACAATTCAAGATAAGATTTGGGCAGGGACACAGCCAAACCATATCATTCCACCCCTGGCCCCTCTCAAATCTCATGTCCTCACATTTCAAAACAAAATCATGCCTTTCCAACAGTCCCCCAAAGTCTTAGCTCATACCAACATTAAGCCAAAAGTCCAAGTCCAAAGTCTCATCTGAGACAAGGCAAGTCCCTTCTGCCTATAAGCCTGTAAAATAGAAAGCAAGTTACTTACTTTCTAGATACAATGGGGGTACAGATATTGGGTAAATACACACATTCCAAATGGGAGAAATTGGTCACAACAAAAGAACCAAAGGCCTCATGCAAGTTTGAAACCCAGCGGGGCAGTCATTAAATCTTAAAGCTTCAAAATCTGCTTTGATTCCATGTCTCACATCCAGGTCACACTGTTGCAGGAGGTGGGCTCCCATGGACTTGGGCAGTTCTGCCCCTGCGGCTCAGTAGGATACAGGCCCGGGGGCTGCTTTCATTGGCTGCTGTTTAGTACCTGTGGCTGTTCCAGGTACATAGTGCAAGCTGTCAGTGGATTTACCACTCTGGGGTCTGGAGGATGGTGGCCCTCTCCTCACAGCTCTGCTAGGCAGTGCCCCAGTGGGGACTCTGTGTGGGAGCTCCAACCCCACATTTCCCCTCTTCATTGCCCTAGTAGAGGTTCTCCATGAGGACTTCACCCCTGCAGCAAACTTCTGCCTGGACATCCAGATGTTTCCATACATCCTCTGAATTCTAGGCAGAGGTTTCCAAACATCAACTCTTGTCTTCTATGCACCTGCAGGACCAATACCATATGGAAGCTGCCAAGGCTTGGGACTTGTACCCTCTGAAGCCATGGACTGAGCTGTACCTTGGCCCCTTTTAGACATGGCTGAAGTGGCCAGAATGCAGGACACCAAGTCTCTAGGCTGCACACAGCAGGGGGGCCCTGGACCAGGCCCACAGAACCGATTTATTCCTCGTAGGCCTTCAGGCCTCTGATGGGAGAGGCTGCCATAAAGGTCCCTGACATATCCTGGAGACATTTTCCACATTGTCTTGGCAATTAACATTTGGCTCCTCATTACTTGTGCACGTTTCTGCAGCTGGCTTGAATTTCTCCCCAGAAAATGGGTTTTTCTTTTCTACCATATTGTCAGGCTGCACATTTTCCAAACTTTTATGCTCGGTCACCTCTTAAATGCTTTGCTGCTTAGAAATTTCTTCTGCCTGACAATCCTAAGCCAAAAGAACAAAGCTGGAGGCATCACACTACCTGACTTCAAACTATACTACAAGGCTACAGTAACCAAAACAGCATGGTACTGGTACCAAAACAGAGATACAGATCAATGGAATAGAACAGAGCCCTCAGAAATAACGCCGCATATCTACAACTATCTGATCTTTGACAAACCTGAGAAAAACAAGCAATGGGGAAAGGATTCCCTATTTAATAAATGGTGCTGGGAAAACTGGCTAGCCATATGTAGAAAGCTGAAACTGGATCCCTTCCTTACACTTTATACAAAAATCAATTCAAGATGGATTAAAGACTTAAACGTTAGACCTAAAACCATAAACACCCTAGAAGAAAACCTAGGCATTACCATTGAGGACATAGGCATGGGCAAGGACTTCATGTCTAAAACACCAAAAGCAATAGCAACAAAAGACAAAGTTGACAAATGGGATCTAATTAAACTAAAGAGCTTCTGCACAGCAAAAGAAACTACCATCAGAGTGAACAGGCAACCTACAGAATGGGAGAAAATTTTCGCAACCTACTCATCTGACAAAGGGCTAATGTCCAGAATCTACAATGAACTCAAACAAATTTACAAGAAAAAAACAAACAACCCCATCAGAAACTGGGCAAAGGACATGAACAGACACTTCTCAAAAGAAGATATTTATGCAGCCAAAAAACACATGGAAAAATGCTCATCATCACTGGCCATCAGAGAAATGCAAATCAAAACCACAATGAGATACCATCTCACACCAGTTAGAATGGCAATCATTAAAAAGTCAGGAAACAACAGGTGCTGGAGAGGATGTGGAGAAATAGGAACACTTTTACACTGTTGGTGGGACTGTAAACTAGTTCAACCATTGTGGAAGTCAGTGTGGCGATTCCTCAGGGATCTAGAACTAGAAATACCATTTGACCCAGCCATCCCATTACTGGGTATATACCCAAAGGACTATAAATCATGCTGCTATAAAGACACATGCACACGTATGTTTATTGCGGCATTATTCACAATAGCAAAGACTTGGAACCAACCCAAATGTCCAACAATGATAGACTGGATTAAGAAAATGTGGCACATATACACCATGGAATACTATGCAGCCATAAAAAATGATGAGTTCATGTCCTTTGTAGGGACATGGATGAAATTGGAAATCATCATTCTCAGTAAACTATCGCAAGAACAAAAAACCAAACACTGCATATTCTCACTCATAGGTGGGAATTGAACAATGAGATCACATGGACACAGGAAGGGGAATATCACACTCTGGGGACTGTTGTGGGGTGGGGGGAGGGGGGAGGGATAGCATTGGGAGATATACCTAATGCTAGATGATGAGTTAGTGGGTGCAGCGCACCAGCATGGCACATGTATACATATGTAACTAACCTGCACAATGTGCACATGTACCCTAAAACTTAAAGTATAATAATAAAATAAAATAAAATAAAATAAAATAAAATAAATAAAATAAAAATAAATAAAAAAGTAAAAAAAAAAAAAAAAAGAATTAAAAAAAAAAAGAAAAGAAATTTCTTCTACCTGATACCCTAAATAATCTTTCCCAAGTTCAAAGTTCCACAGATCTCTAGGGCAGGGGAAAAATGCCAGCAATCTCTTTGCTAAAGCATAGCAAGAGTCACCTTTATTCCAATTCCCAAAAAGTTTCTCATCTCCATCTGAGACCACCTCAGCCTGGACTTCATTGTCTAGATCACTCTCAGCATCTTCATCAAAACCATTCAACAAGTCTCCAGGGAGTTCCAAACTTTCCCACATTTCTTCTGAGTCCCCCAAACTGTTCCAACCTCTGCCTGTTACCCAGTTCCAAAGTTGCTTCCACATTTTCAGCTACCTTTATAACAGCAATCCACTTCTGGTACCAATGTAGTATATTAGTCCATTCACATGCTGCTATAAAGAACTGCCTGAGACTGGGTAATTTTTAAAAGAAAGAGATTTAACTAACTCACAGGTCAGCAGGGCTGAGGAGGCCTCAGGAAACATACAATCATGGCAGAAGGGTAAGCAAACATGTCTTCTTCACATGGCAGCAGGAAGGAGAAGTTCTGAGTGAAGGGGGAAAATCGCCTTATAAAACCATCAGATCTCGTGAGAATCCACTCGCTATCACAAGAACAGCATGGGGGAGCTGCCCCCACAAGCGAATCCCTTCCCACCAAGTCCCTCCCACAGCACTTAGGGATTATGAGAACTACAATTCAGGATGAGATTTGGGTGGAGACACAGCCAAACCATACAAGTCACAGAAAAGCTTTTGCTTCAGAGGCCTTAATTTGTAGTACTTTCTGAGTCCCAACACAGTCTTGATGTTTTCTCCAACTTAGGAAATGACAACAGCATTTATCAGCCACCCAAGACAGAGGATGCACTCCTCCCTCACAAAGAATCTATACTTATAAACATCTTGGAGCCCTCTTCTTTTGCCCTTTCTGACAGCTACAACCTTAGTTCAAGCTCTTGCCTGGTGGTTGACACAGCCTTAAAAAGAGCTTGTCTCTGCCAGAATGCTCTTTGGAAAACCCAACTGTAACCTGTTTTAAATTTCTGCAATTAGCCTCCAAAGCTTCCAAGGCCAAGTTCAATTTTCATCTTCATGTCCTATACAGCCTCTGCAGCTTCATATCTCTCTCTCATGTTTACAGAGAGAACTACCTGTGGCTCCTTGAATACAGCAGGCAAAGCATACCTTTGAGCATTCAGGCACACAGAATCTTCTTGCTGGACTGTTCCACCCCTACTTTGTCTACTAAAGCCTACTAATCCTTTGAAAAGCAGCTCAATATTCACCTCCAATAAGAAGTTCTCGCAGTGATTTCCCAGTAAGATGTAGTTAGCTTTTAACTAAATGTACATAACTATGTGTCAAATACTGTCAAAGCCTTTATCATACTATTTTATAAATATGCATTCATTTCTATTTTAATTACACATTTCTATCATAATTTAATGTATTTTATTGCAAGAATAATTGTATCTTATTTTCATACTTTTATAATTACACGTCTTTGGACAAAAATCCTTTAGCACACTATTTTAAAATTTCTGATTTACAGGTTTATGTGTCTTCCCACCAAAGTGTAAGTACCCTGAGAGTAGAAATCATTTATTTCACAATGTAAAGTTCTACACTATTATATGCTAATGAATATTAGTTAAATGAATGAATTAAGTGCAAATTAAAATGGAAAGGATTCTCATAGTAAAAAATAAAAATGATAAGCATATACCTGTTTTGTTCAGTTTAAAACTTGATATCTCTCTCCTGGTTTCTGGTTCCACATGTAAGGAGCTTACAAGTCATCACTTCATCTTAACAAGTAAAAAGTTAAACAAACTAAAAAAAAAAACTCAAAATCACTTCTTACATCAGTAACAGAAATGAGGCAATAGGGAAAATGAATGCCCTCCTCCTCCAGATTGGACAGACAGGCAGGCAGATACAGAGAATTACAACACATTGAAGCAGTAATCCTTGTGAGAACCAGCACTGGGATAGAGAAACCTGAACTGACAAATTGCTGGAGGCTAGGTGTGAATAAATCTCAAAGTTAAAAACTCCAGGGAAACTCAGTCATGCAAGGCCCTCATGCTTTTGTTAGTTTTACCATTGGAGCTTGATCATATTCCCACACTAAAGATGGGAGAGAAAAGAAAACCCTCATGCTTCCAGCAGGAGGAGGAGAAAAGGAACTATTTTTAAACATGTCAGCGTACTCTATTCTTAAAAAGTTTCTCCTAAGGGCAGACTTTGCTAAGAGGGGCCTAACTTGCTGGCAAATTAGTTTTACTCAACATGCCCCGAGTCAGATAACTGAAATACCTCTTAGTCTAGGTAGATACTTTCACTGGATAGGTAGAGTCCTTTCCTAAAGGGTCTGAGAAGGCCACTGCAGTCATTTCTTCCCTTCTGTGAGACTTAAGTCCTCAGTTTAGCCTTCCCACCTCAATACAGTCTGATAACAGACCAGCCTTTATTAGTCAAATCAGCCAAGCAGTTTTTCAGGCTCTTAGTATTCAGTGAAACCTTTATATGCCTTATGGTCCTCCGTCTTCAAGAAAAGTAGAATAGACTAAAGGTCTTTTAAAAACACACCTCACCAAGCTCAGCCACCAACTTAAAAAGGACTGGACAATACTTTTACCACTTTCCCTTCTCAGAAGTCAGACCTGTCCTCAGAATGCTACAAGGTACAGCCCATTTAAGCTCCTATATAGATGCTCCTTTTTATTAGGCCCCAGTCTCATTCCAGACACCAGACCAACTTAGACTGTGCCCCCAAAAAAACTTGTCATCCCTACTATCTTCTGTCTAGTCATACTCCTATTCACCGTTCTCAACTACTCATACATGCCCTGCTCTTGTTTACACTGCCGGTTTACACTGTTTTTCCAAGCCATCACAGCTGATATCTCCTGGTGCTATCCCCAAACTGCCACTCTTAACTCTTGAAGTAAATAAATAATCTTTGCTGGCAGGACTATGCTGAATCTCCTTAGGCACTCTCTAATCAGATATCCTGAGTTGTCCCAATTCTTAGACCTTTTATACCTGTTTTTCTCCTTCTGTTATTCCATTTGGTTTTTCAATTCATACAAAACCGTATCCGGGCCGTCACCAATCATTCTATACGGCAAATGTTTCTTCTAACATCCCCACAATATCACCCCTTACCACAAGACCTCCCTTCAGCTTAATCTCTCCCACTCTAGGTTCCCACGCCGCCCCTAATCCCGCCTGAAGCAGCCCTGAGAAACATCGCCCATTCTCTCTCCATACCACCCCCCAAAAATTTTCGCCGCCCCAACACTTCAACACTTCAACACTATTTTATTTTTCTCATTAATATAAAAAGTCAGGAATGTCAGGCCTCTGAGCCCAAGCCAAGCCATCGCATCCCCTGTGACTTGCACGTATACACCCAGATGGCCTGAAGTAACTGAAGAATCACAAAAGAAGTGCATATGCCCTGCCCCACCTTAACTGATGACATTCCACCACAAAAGAAGTGTAAATGGCCGGTCCTTGCCTTAAGTAACGACATTACCTTGTGAAAGTCCTTTTCCTAGCTCATCCTGGCTCAAAAAGCTCCCCCACTGAGCACCTTGCGACCCCCACTCCTGCCCGCCAGAGAACAAACCCCCTTTGACTGTAATTTTCCTTTACCTACCCAAATCCTATAAAACGGCCCACCCTTATCTCCCTTCACTGACTCTCTTTTCGGACTTGGCCCGCCTGCACCCAGGTGAAATAAACAGCCATGTTGCTCACAAAAAAAAAAAAAAGAAAGAAAGAAAGAGGGGCCTAACTTGCTAGCATTTTATCAGAACCTAACTGACCTTGGGGAAAGTAAGTACCCAATTCCAGCTCACTCTAGCCGTCCTGTTTCATCTAAAAGGGGAGAAACAAATCGGAGAAACACTTGTGAAGTTAGTCCAGAGTCATAGGCCTATGAAAAAAAACTGAGACCTAATCATAGGATTATAAAATATTTCTTCCCCTCACACCTACCAAATTATTAATGGCCTATTTACCGCTATTTCTGGTACCCAGTACATCATGTCCAGCTATTAAGAAAAAAGTACAAGGTATACTAAAGGCAAAAACCACAGTATAAAGAGAGCAAGCATCAGAACTCAATATGGCAGGGAGGTTGGAATTATCAGACAGGGAAGTTAGAACAATTATTATTAATATGCTAAGGGTTCTAAAGGATAAAGTAGGCAGCATGCAAGAAAAGATGAGCAATATAAGAATAGAGATGGAAATTCTATGCCAGGCACGGTGGCTCACGCCTGTAATCCCAGCTCTCAGGGAGGCAAGAGGTGGGAGGATAGCTTGAGCCCAGGAGTTCGAGACCTGCCTGGGCAATATAGCAAGACCCCGTTCTCCAGAAAAAGAAATAAAAAAAGACAAGAATAGAGATGGAAATTCTAAGAAACAAAAAGAAATACTAGAGATCAAAAACACAATAACAGAAATGGGCTTATCAGTAGACTGGATATAACTGAGGAAAAAAATCTGAGCTTGATGAAATACCAATAGATACTACCTAAACTAAAAAGCAAAAAAAAAAAAAAAAAAAAAAGAAAAACCTCAGGATATCAAAGTACTTTGGGACATCTATGAAAAATGCAACATACGTGAAGGGGAATAGCAGAAGAAAAAGAGAGAAACAAACATCAAAACAACGACTGATAATTTTTTCAAATTAATAACATTTTCCAAAACATAGATCAAAACAGCTCAAGAACACCAAGCAGGCCAGGCATAGTGGCTCACGCCTGTAATCCAGCACTTTGGGAGGATGAGGCGGTGGATCACCTGAGGTCAGGAGTTTGAGACCAGCCTAGCCAAGATGGCAAAACCCTGTCTCTACTAAAAATACAAAAATTAGCTGGACGTGGTGGCAGTTGCCTGTAATCCCAGCTACTTGTGAGGCTGAGGTGGGAGAATTGCTTGAACCTGGGGGGCAGAGGTTACAGTGAGCCGAGATCAAGCCACTGCACTCCAGGCTGGGCTACAAAAACAAAACTCCATTGAAAAAGAAAAAAAACCCCAAGCAGAATAAATAAATGCCTCTCCACCTAAAAAGACCAACTACACCTAGGCCTATCATTATACCCCTTTCAAATTACAGAAAATGAAAGATAAAGAAAAACATTTTTTAAAGAAGGCTAAAGGAAAAAAATTTTACCTTTGGAGTAACAAAAATAAGAATTATATCTGACTTGTCAGAATCCATTCAAGCAAAAAGAGAATCGAATACCCACAAAAATCAATAAATTCATATATATTACATGAGATGTTTTGATACAGGCAGGCAATGCCTAATAATTAGCTCATGGAGAATAGAATATCCATCCCCTCAAGCATTTATCTTTTGTATTACAAACAATCCACTTTTATTCTTTTAGTTGTTTCAAAATAAGGAAATTATTGGGAACTGGAGCAAAGGTAACTTTTGTTATGTGTTAGTAAAAACCTGGCAGCCCTGTGCCCCCACTCTAGGGATCTGTGGAACTTTGAACTTGAGAGTCATGATTTAGGGAATCTGGTGGAAGAAATTTCTAAGCACAAAGTGTTTAAGATGTGGCCTGGGTGTTTTTTAACAGCCTATGCTCACATGTGTAAGCAAGGAAATAATGTAAAACTGAAACTTATAAAGACAAAGCAAACCATAAAATTTTGAAAAATTTTCTCCTGTCCATGTGGTAGAAAAGAAAAGCCCATTTTCAGGGGAGGAATATAAGTATGCTGCAGAAATTTGCATAAGTAAAGAGGAAACAATTACTAATAGTCAAGACAATGGGGAAAAGGCCTTCAAGGCATTTCAGAGACCTTTGAGGTAGACTCTCCAATCACAGGTCCAGAGGCGTATGAGAGAAGCATGATCTTTTGTGTCAGGCCCAGGGCTGTGCTGTCTCATGCAGCCTTGGGACACAGCTTCCTGCATCCCAGATGGACCAGCTCTAGCCGTGGCTCAAAAAGGCTAGGTAAAACTTGGGCTGCTGCCTTCAGAGGGGTGGCTTCCATGTGGTGTTAAGCCTGTGGGTATGCAGAATGCAAGAGTTGAGATCTGGGAGCCTCCTAGGTTTCAAAGAATGTATGGAAAATCCTGGATGTCCATGCAGAAGCCTGCTGCAGGAGTGGAGCGCTCACAGAGAACCTCTACTAGGGAAGTGCGGTGGGAAAATGTGTGGTTGGAGCTTCAACAGAGCCCCCACTGGGGCACTGCTTAGTGGAGCTGGGAGAAGAAGGCCATGGTCCTACAAAATCTGGAATGATAGATCCATGGACAGCTTGCCCTGTGCACCTGGGAAAGCTGAAGGCACTCAAAGCCAGCCCTTGAGAGAAGCCACAGGGCAGAGACGCTGAAGGCCTCGTGAGCCCACCCTTTTTATCAGTGTGGCCTAAATGTAAAACAGGGAGTGAAAGGAGATTATTTCAGAGCTTTAAGATTTAATGACTGTCCTGCTGGGTTTCGGACTTGCATGGGGCCTGTAGCCTTTTTCTTTTGGTCAATTTTTTCCTTTTGAAATGCAAGTATTTATTCAATGCCTGTATCCTCATTGTATCTTCAAAGTAACTAAGTAGTTATTATTATTATTATTTTACAGGCTCATAGGCAAAAGGAACTTGCCTTATCTCAGATGAGATTTTGGACTGTGGACTTTTGAGTTAATGCTGAAATGAGTTAAGACTTTGGGGAACTGTTGGGAAGGCAAGATTGTATTTTTAAATGTGAGATGAACATGAGACTTGGGAGCAGAGTGGTATGGTTTTGATCTGTGTCCTCACTCATGTTGAAATGTAATCCTCAGTGCTGGAGGTGGAGACTGGTGGGAGGTGATCAGACCATGGGGGCAGTTTCTAAAGGTTTAGCACCATCCCAATAAAGCTTGTAATGGGGTTCTCATGAAATCTAATTGTTTAAAAGTGTGTGGCATCTCCCCCTCTCTCCTACTCCAGCCATGTAACACTTTGCTTGCTTCCCCTTCACATTCTACCATGATTGTAAGTTTCCTGAGGCTTCCCCAGAAGCTGAGCAGATAGCCAACATCATGCTTTCTGTACATCCTGTGGAACTGTGAGCCAATTAAATCTCTTTTCTTTGTAAATCATCCATTCTTAGGTATTTCTTTATAGCAATGCAAAAATGAACTGATACAGATGGGTAGTTTGCAAATATTTTCTGCCACTCTGTTGGTTACCTCTTCACTTTGCCAGTTGTTTTCTTTGCTATACAGAAGTTTTTTAACTTGATATGATCCCATTTGTGCATTTTTGCATTGGTTGCCTGTGCTTGTGGGGTATTACTCAAGAAATTTTTGCCCAGACCAATGTCCTGAAGTTTCTCCAATGTTTTCTTGCAGTAGTTTCACAGTTTTAGGTCTTAGATTTAAGTCTTTAATCAATTTTTATTTGATTTTTGTATATTTCAAGAGATAGGGTTCCAGTTTTGTTCTTCTGCATATGGGTATCCAGTTTTCCCAGCACCATTTATTGAAGACATTGTCTTTTCCTCAGTGCATGTTATTGGCACATTCATGGAAAACAAGTTTACTGTAGGTGTGTGGATTTGTTTCTGGGTTCTCTATTCTATTCACCTGTGTGTCTCTCTTTTTGATTTTTTTTTGTTCTGTTTTGTTGCCAGTACCATGCTGTTTGGTTACTACAACTCCATAGTATAATTTGAAGTCAGGTAATGTGATTGCTCCAGTTTTGTTATTTTTGCTCAGAATAGCTTTGTTTATTCTGAGTCTTTGTGATTTCATATGAATTTTAGAATTGTTTTTTCTACTTTTTTGAAGAACATCTTTGGTATTTTGAAAGGGATTGCATTGAATCTGTAGATTGCTTTGGGGAGTATGGACAAAATTAATAATATTGACTCATCTAATCCATGAGCATGGAATGTCTTTCAATTTTTTGAAATTTTCTTCTATTTCTTTCATCAATATTTTAGAGTTTTCATTATAGATATTTTTCACTTCTTTGGTTGATTCATAGGTATTTAGTTTTAGGTGAGGCTGTTGTGAATAGGATTTTTTTTTTCTTTTTCACCTTGTTCACAGTTGGCATATAAAAATGCTACTGATTTTTTTGTCCTACTTTGCTGAATTTGTTAATCAATTCTAATAGTTTTTGGTGGAGTCTTTAGGTTTATTCAAATATAATATCATATCTGCAAACATGGATAACTTAATTTCTTCCTTCCCAATATGAATGCACTTTATTTTTCACTTGTCTGATTGCTTTAGCTAGGACTTCCAGTACTATGTTAAATAACATTGGTGAAAGTGTTATTTCATGTTCCTTATCATGTCCCAGATCTTAGAGTAAAGCCTTTTTGTTTTTCCCCATTTAATATGGTACTAGCTGTGTGTCTATTTCACATGGTTTTTATTATGTTATTATGTTCTGTACCTAGTTTGAAGGGTTTTATCATGGAGGAATGTTTAACTTTTCAAATGCTTTTTCAGCATCAATTCAAAGGATCATTTGGTTTTTGTCCTTCATTCTGTTGATATGAGGTATCATATTGATTGATTTGCATATGTTGAACTATTCTTGCATCCCAGTGACAAATCCCACTTGATCGTGATGATGATGTTTTCCACATACCGTTGAATTTGGTTTGCTAGTATTTTGTTGAGGATATTTATATCAATATTCATGAGATATTGGCCTGTATTTTTTTTAATGTGTCTTTGTCTAGTTTTGATATCAGGGTAATAGTGGCTTTGTAGAATGAGTTAGGAAGTAATCCCTCCTCCTCTATTTTTTGGAGCAGTTTGAGTAGGATTGGTATTAGTTACTCTTTAAGTGTTTGGTAGAATTCAGCAGTGAAGCCATTAGTTGCTGAGCTTTTCTTTCCTAAGAGACTTTTTATAACGTCTTTGATCTTGTTACTTGTTACTGGCCTGTTTGGGTTTTTAATTTCTTCATGGTTCACTCTGGGCAGGTCATATCTGTGTAGGAATTTGTCCATTTCTTCTAGATTTTCCAAATTATTGGCATATAGTTGCTCATAGTAGCCACAAATCATCCTTTGAATTTCTGCAGTATCAGTTGTAATGTCTCTTTTTTCATCTCTGATTTTATTTGGATTTTTTTCTTTTTTATTTAGTCTAGCTAAAAGTTTGTAAGTTTTGTTTAACTTTAAAATAACAACTTTTTGTTTCAGTGATTTTTGTATTGTTTTCTTCATTTCAATTTCATTTATTTCTGCTCTGATCTTTATTATTTCCTTTATTCCACTGTTTTGGGGTTTGTTTTCCTGCTTGCTTTCTAGTTGTTGAGGATGCATTTCTGGTTCTTTATTTGAAGTTTTTCTAATTTTTTTGATGTAAGTATTTATAGCTATATACTTCCCTCTGAGTACTGCTTTTGCTGTATCCCGTAATTGGTGAAATGTTGTGTTTCTATTGTCGTTTGTTTCAAGAAAATTTTCAATTTCCTTCTTAATTTCTTTATTAACCCACAGGTCATTCAGAAACATATTATTTAATTTCCTTGTATTTGCATAGTTTCAAACATTCTTCTTGTTACTGATTTCTAGTTTTATTCTGTGCTGGTCAGAGAACATGGTTGATATTACTCAGGGTTTTTAAAAGTATTTTAAAAATTATTCTGTGACCTAACATATGGTCTATCCTTAAGAATGATCCCTAGGCTGAGGAAAAACCTGTGTATCCTGCAGTTGTTAGATGAAATGTTCTGTAAATATCTATTAGAACCATTTGGTTTACAGTACAGATAGAGTCCAATGTTTCTTTGATTTTCTGTCTCAAAGGTCTGTCCAGGGCTGAAAGTAGGGTGTTGAAGTCTTCAGATATTACTGTATTGGAGTCTCTCTTTAGCTCTAATAATATTTGCTTTATATATCTGAGTACTCCCATGTTGAGTGCATATATACTAAAATTTGTTATATCCTCTTGCTGAATTGACCCCTTTATCATTATATAGTGACCTTCTTTGTATCTTCTTATAGTTTTTGTCTTAAAATCTATTTTATCTGATAAAAGTATAGCTGCTCCAACTCTTTTTTGGCTTCCATTGGCATGGAATATCTTCTTCCATCCATTTACTTTCAGTTTATGTATGTTTTTTATAGATGAGGTGTGTTTCTTGTAGAGAACAGATCAATGATCTTGTTTTTTTAATGAAGTCAACCATTCTATATCTTTTGATTGGAAAGTTTAGTCCATTTACATTCAATATTATTATTGATAAGAACTTACTATTGCCACTTGTTATTGGTTTTCTGATTGTTTTGTGGTCCCCCCTCCCTTCTTGCTTTCCTTCTCGTATTCCCATTAGTAAAGGTGATTTTCTCCAGTAATATAATTTAGTTTCCTGCTTTTTATTTTCTGTGTATTCACTGTATGTTCTTTGGTTTGAGGTTACAAAGAGGCTTGCAAATACTATCTTACAAACCACTATTTTAAGCTGATAAAAATTAAATCCTGTTTGCATAAACAAGCAAAAAGAAAACCAATAAAAACTGTATGCCCTAACTTCATCCCTCAACTTTTTAACTTTTTGTTATTCCCATTTATATCTTATGATACTGTCCATGTCTGGAAAATTTGTTGTAGTTATTGTTTTTTATTGGTTCATCATTTAGTCTTTCTACTTAGGGTAGTAGTTTACACACCACAGTTACAGGGTTATAATATTCTGTTTTTCTGAGTACCTACTGTTACCAGTGATTTTTGTACATTCAGGTGATTACTTATTGCTCATTAACATCCTTCTCTTTCTGATCAAAGTATTCCCTTTAGCATTCCTTTAGGACAGATCAGGTGATGATGAAATCCCTCAGATTTTGTTTGTCTGGGAAAGTATTTCTCATTTGTGTTCTTTGCTGGATATGCTTTTTAGGATAAAAGTCTTTTTCCTTCCGCACTTTAAATATGTCTTGCCACTCTCAACTGGCCTGTAAGGTTTCCACTTCAATGTCTACTGATAGATGTATTGGAGCTTTATTGTGTGTTATTCGTTCCTTTTCTCTTGCTGCTTTTAGGATTCTTTATCCTTTATTTTTAGGAGTTTGATTATTAAATGTGTTGAGGTAGTCTTCTTTGGGTTAAGTCTGCTTGGTGTTATATAACCTTCTTGTACTTAGATAATGATATCTGTCTGTAGGTTTGGGAAGGCATCTGTTGTTATCCCTTTGAATAAACTTTCTACTCCCCTCTCTTTTCTACCTCCTCTTTAAGGCCAATAACTCTTAGATTTGCTATTTTGAAGCTATTTTCTAGATCCTGAAGGCATGCTTTATTTTTTTTTAATTCTTCTTTGCTTTTGTCTCCTCAGACTGTGTATTTTCAAATAGCTTATCTTTAAGGGTTTCTTCTTCTGCTCAGTTCTGCTAATAAAAGACTCTGATGCTTCTTCATTACACCAAATGCATTTTTTCAGCTCCAGAACTTCTGCTTGTTTATTTTTAATTATTTCAATCTCTTTTTTCATTTTATCTGATAGAATTCTGAATTCCTTCTCTGTGTTATCTTGAATTTGAGTTTTCTCAAAACAGCTATTTTAAATTATCTGTGTGAAAGGTCACATATCTCTGTTGATAACTGGTCTCTGATGCCTTATTTATTTAATTTGGTGAGGCCATGTTTTTCTGGATGGTCAATACTTGTACATATTTGTCTGTGTCTGGGCAATGAAGGGTTAGGTGTTTATTTTAGTCTTCACAGTCTGGACTTGTTTGTTTCCATCCTTCTTGAGAAGGCTTTCTGGATATTGGAAAGAACTTGGGTGTTGTGATATAAGCTATATCTGCTTTAGGGGAAACCCCAAGCCTAGTAACACTGATTCTTTCAGACTCTTGAGGTGCCACCTTGATGGTCTTGGACAAGATGCAGGTGAGTTCTATGGATTACCAGGCAGAGAGTCTTGTTCTCTTCCCTTACTTTCTCCCAAGCAAATGGAGTTTCTGTCTTTGTTTTGAGCCACCTGAAGCTGGGTGTGGATTAATACTAGCACGCCTGTGGCCACCACTAGGATTGTGCTGGGTTAGACCTGAACCCAGCACAGCACCGGGTCTTGCCCAAGGCATGCAATAACCACTTCCTAGCTACTGCCTATGTTTGCTCAAGGCCCTGTGGCTCTACAATCAGCAGATGGCAAAGCCAGCCAGGCCTGTGTCCTTCACTTCAGGGTGATGAGCTCCCCCAGGCCCTGGGGCATGTCTAGAGTGCCATCCAGGAGCCAGAGATTCAAGTACAATACTTTAGATGTATACCTGGTGTTCTATTGTACTGCAGCTGAGCTCGCACTCAAGCCACAAGATGCAGTCTTTCCCATTCTTTCCTCCCTTTTCTAAAGGCAGAGGAGCCTCATCTGCGGCTTCCACCACCACAGGTCCATGTGCAGTACTGCCAGCCTACCAACAATGTTTCTTTAAGGCCCAAGGGCTCCTCAGTCAGCTTGTGGTGAATGCTCTCTGGCCTGGGACTTACATGCTTGAGAGCACTGGGCTCCTCTCTGGTCCAGGGCAGGTCCAGAAATGCCATCTAAGAACTAAGCCCTAGAATCAGGGACCCCAAAGGCCCACTTGGTGCTCTACTCCAGTGGTCCCCAGCCTTTTTGGCACTAGGGATGTTTCATGGAACACATTATTTTTTCACATACTGGTGGGGGTGGGGGATCGTCAGGCATTAGATTCTCATAACGAGCACATAACCTGGATCCCTTGCATGTGAAGTTCACAACGGGGTTCACACTTCAGTGAAAATCAAATCCCACCACTGATATGACAGGAGGTAGAGCTCAGGCAGCAATGCTCACTCACCAGCTGCTCACCTCCTGTTGCGTGGCCTGGTTCTAGTACAGGTCCTTGGCCCAAGAACTGGGGACCCCGGCTCTATCCCGCTGTGGCCAAGCTGGTGCTTACGGTGCAAAACAAAGTCCCCTTTATTTTTCCCTCTGTTTTTCTCAAGCAGTAGGGGTTTTGCCCCTTAGCCACCACAGCTGGAAATGTGCTGAGTCTCACCTGAAGCCAGTAAGTCTGAGTCTTGCCTGAGCCCTCAATGTAGTACCTTAGTATTGCTGCTGGTTATTCAGGGCGCAAGGGCTCTTTAGCTAGGAGGTGATTAATGCTGTTAGAACTGGTTTCTTCTCGTCAAGGCAGTGGATTCCCTTCTGGCCAAGGATTGTGTCTAGGAAAGTCATCCAGTAGTTAGGACCTGAAAGAGGAGCCCCATGGCTCTTACTGGTGCCCTATCTTACTGTGGCTGATCTGGTATCCAGAATGCAAGACAAAGTCCTCCCCACTCTTCCCTCTTCTATCAAGAGGTAGGAAGGGGTCTCTTTTGGAGCTGTGAGCTGTATAGCCTGCGATTAGGGGAGAGGGTGATGCCAGCACTCCTCTAGCTACTCTGGCTAGTATCTCAGCAGATCACGTGCCTCCCCCAGTCCTGTGACTCTAGACCCAGTTCAGCACAAGAACTCGCCTAGGTGTTACAGTCCTTGTGGCCTAGATTGCCTTTCAGATTTATTTAGAGCCCCAGAGCTCCTTTAGCCCATGGTGATCAGGCTTGTAGGAACTCAAGTTTCAACTGCTGGGATTGGCAATTCCCCTATAGCTAGAGCTAGTTTAAATGCTCCTTCCATGAGTATAAGTCAGCCAAGTTTGATCTGGCTTTCGTTTCCACTGTAACAGGACTGCACTGCTCACAAATACTGCCATCTTCCTCCCCCAGCACACAGAAATGCTCCCCACACCACCCACGACTGCAGGGAGATGGGGGAGGTGTGGCATTGGCAATTGAAGACTTTTTTTCTACCTCTTCAGTGTCTCTTTCAGTGATATGAAGCTAAAGCCATGCACTGTGAGTGCTCATCTGACTTTTGGTTCTTATAGAGGTGTTCTTTGTGTGTAGATAGTAGTTAAATTGGTGTCCTTGCAGGGGGAATAATTGGTGGAGCCTTCTATTCTGCCATCTTGCTCCACCAAAAAAAAAAAAAAAAAGAGAAGGAATACTTAACTTATTCTATGAAGCCAGCATAGAAAAAGACATTACAAGAATACTATTAACCAATATTTCTCAGGAATATCAATTTTAAAATCCTCAACAACATATCAGTTATTGAGTTCAACAATGTATAGAATGAATTATATACCACAATCAAGTGAGAATTATGCCAGATATGCAAAGGTGATTTGACATTTGAAAAACTAAGTAATGTAATTCATCACGTCAACAGGTTAGAAAACAAACAAACAAAAACACATGAATCTATCAATAGATGCAGAAAAAGTAGCAAAATCCAACACCCATTTGTGATTAAAAAAAATTCCCAGTAAATGTTTAATACAGGGAAATATATAACTCAACTTGACTTAAAAATATGTACAAAACACCTACAGCTAACATCATACTTAATAGTGAGAAACTCAAATCTTTCTCACTAAGATTAGGAACAAGGTCATCTCACCACTGCCTTTCAACATCATACTGGAAGTCCTAGCTAATGCAATAAGAGAAGAAAAAAGAGTAAAACATATTCAGATTAGAAAGGAAGAAATAAAACTCTGTTCACAGATGATATAATTATCCATATATAAAATTCAAGAGTCAACAAATTCTTCTGAAACTGGTAAGTGATTACAGCATGATTGCCAGATACAAGGTTAATATACAAAAGTCAATCACGTTCCCCTCTACCAGCAATAAACAAGTGGAATTTGAAATTAAACTCACAATATTACTTACATTAGCACTCAAATAAGATACTTAAGTACAGATCTAACAAAATATGTACAAGGTCTATCTGAGGAAAACTATAAAACTCTGATGAAAGAAAGCAAAGAACTAAATTAACGGTGAGATGTTTTGTTTTTATGAACAAAAGACTCAATATTGTTAAGATGTCAGTTCTTTCAAACTTGGTCCATAGATTCAATGCAATTCCAGTCAAAATTCCAGCAAGTTATTTTTGTAGATATCACCAGACTGATTCTAAAGTTCATATGGAGAAGTAAATGACTCAGATAGCCAATACAATATGTAAGAAGAACAAAGTTGGAGTATTGATATTGCCTGACTTTAAGATGTACTATAAAGCTACAGTAATCAGAAAAATTTGGATCATCAAAAGAGAACATAGATCCCAGAAATAGACCTGTATAGTCAATTGATCTTTGACAAAGGAGCAAAGCCAACGCAATTGAAAGGAGAATCTTTTCAACAAATGGTGTTTGGAACAACTGGACACCCACATGCAAAAAAAAAAAAAAAAAAAAAAATAGTAAACACAGACCTTGCATCCTTCACAAAAAATAACTCAAAATGGATCATAGACCTAAATGTAAAACACAAAACTGTCAACCTTTGAAGAGATAACATACATGTCCTTGGGTTTATCAATGACTTTTTAGATACAACACCAAAAGCACAATCCATGAAAGAAGGAATTGATAAATTGGACTTCATTAAAACTACAAACTTTTGTTCTGCAAAAGACACTATGAAGAGAATCAAAAAGCCACAGATTGGGAGAAAATATTTGGAAAAGACATATCTATTAAAGCACCGTTATCCAAAATACACAAAGAACTCTTAAAATTCAAAAATAAGAAAACATCCAATTAAAAAGGGGGCCAAATATCTCAATAGGCACCACACGAAAGAAGATGTACACATGGAAAATAAGTACCTGAAAAGATGCTCCACATATGTCTTCAGGGAAATGCAAATTTAAAACAACAAGATACCACTATACTCCTTTTAGGATGGTCAAAATCCAGAATGAAAACACCACCACCAACAGAAACAACAGGAACTCTCATTCAGTGCAGGTAAGAATGCAAATAGTAAAGCTACTTTGGAAGACAGTACACTGGTTTCTTACAAAACTAAACTTACTCTTAGCATATGAGTAAGTTTAGTTTTGTGCCTCACTTCTCACACTCTCACTTATTGTGCCACTCTCTCTCTCTCTTTATTTTTTTCTCCTTGAGACAGAGCCTCACTCTGTCGCCCAGGCTGGAGTGCAATGGCGCGATCTGGGCTCACTGCGACCTCCACCTCCCAGGTTCAAACGATTCTCCCACCTCAGCCTCCTGAGTAGCTGGGCTACAGGCACGTGCCACCACACCTGACTAATTTTTTGTATTTTTAGTAGAGACAGGCTTTCACCATGTTGGCCAGGCTGGTCTCAAACTCCTGAGCTAGCGATCTGCCCACCACGGCCTCCCAAAGAGCTGGGATTACAGGCATGATGTGCTCCTCTTTTATTTAGCTAGTGAAGCTGAAAATTTATATTCATACAAAAAAATGCATACAGATGTTTATAGGAGTTTAGTTCATAATTTCCAAAATTTTGAAGCAACTAAGATATCATTCAGTTGGCAAATGGTCAAACTGTGGTACACCCAGACAATGGAATATTATTCAGCACTAAAAAGAAATGAGCTGAGCTGTCAAGCCATGAAAAGACACAGAGGACCATAAAATGCATATTACTAAGGGAAAGAGATCAATTTGAAAAGGCTACATACTATATAATTCCAACTATATGACATTCTAGGAAAGGTAAAACTATGGAGACCAAAAAAGATCAGCGATTGCCAGGAGTAGAGGGAGAGAGGAACAAATAGGCAGAATACGGATGATTTTGAGGGCCATGAAAATACTCTGTATGATACTATAGTAGTGGGTACATGTCATTATGCCTTTGTCAAAATCCACAGGATGGTACAACACCAAGAATGTAGCCTGATGTAAACTATGGACTTTGGGTGATAATGATGTGTCATTGTGGGTTCGTCAATTATAACATGTACCACTCTGGTACGGGATGTTGATAATGAGAAAGGCTGTGCATGTGTAGACGGAAGGGATATATGAGATATCTCTGTACTTCCCTCTTAATTTTGCCCTGAACCTAAAACTACTCAAAAATAGTCTTTTAAAAATTTGATGTAGTTTATGTTTTTGGACAATAAGAACTTAGGCAAGCAACTTAAAACTTTATGGTAAAGCTTTTCCATTAGGAAAAAAAAAAACCTAATGGTATTTATCATCCACTACCATAGTGGTCCTGTGTAAATTAATTAGAATGAAAACACTAATGAAAAATTAGAATGAGTTAAAAGAATGTTTGGAGCTCTTCAGAAGAAGGACTATGCTTTAAAACATCTGTAACATAGAACAAATATAACTTACAAGGATACTTTATATGGCGCTTTCAGGTGTACTTCCTAAACATCACTGTCTTCCTTTAAAGTAAAATAATAACATGTTTTAAAAGTATAAAATAGGGTTAAAATTAAATCTGTCATGCACCAAAAGGAATTTTGGGAGCTATAGGGAATGTATAAACATTCACTAATAAAATGTGCAATTTAAAAGAAATCTCTATTCAATTATCTCCATGAGCTCATATTCATCAACAAAATAACCTATTTATGATTTACATATCTCATGGTCTCTTCTGTTCATGTACTTTTGTCTACGGAAAGGAAATTATTCAGATTTGATTATTATATTCTAATAATTTATGAAGATAATAATGTACCACTAAAAGGGTTCTAAAATCACTTTGGGAATAATCAAAATAGAAGAGAAAATGTCTTTGAAATAAATTATAAGAGAAATGAAAAGCAGTAGGGCAGTCAATAGCAGGAAAATGTTAGGTGCCAATGCGCCAACCTCTCAGCATTTACTTTTATTTTTCGAGCATTAAGATAAAACTCTTCCATGGGAACCTCTGATGAGTTCTCCTTTTCTGACCAGAAAATAAAGAAATAAAGAAATGAAGCATTCCTGAGGTCAGACTGAGTTCTGATTTCTTCAGATTGCATTTTTGAATAAATCTTTAGATTCTCAATGAAGCCAACAATTCATAAAATTTTGAAAGCCCAAACTAAGCTTGAAAAGATATCTGTGTTCTTTGGTCACCAGAAAATTTTGAAGAATTATGAACCTCAAATGATGCCCTGAGATCACAAAATTTAGCTGCTAACCTTCCCAACCAATTAGGATCTACACTAGCCTGAATTGCTTAGTGTTTGTATTATTTTTATGACCTCTGGAGAAACAGATGCAACAATTATCCATTCCTTAAGGTACCTTACTGCCTGAAATAAAAATTATATGTGCAAAGATCATTAAAATAAATAACTCAAATATGTTGTTAAATATTATTTTTAAATGAGTAAATTTTTTTTCTAGTAAGACAGGAAGATGTCTGGCTCATATTAACATCATCATATGTTTAATAGTTTAATTTAGCATCTGGTGCCTTTGCTGCCAGCCCTACAGGGAGAGAGATTAAAGATGGACCACATCTGCAGTTAGTAATAGCCAATCAAAGCAGTCAGACTCTAAGAAAACGAAGATCTTCAGGCCACATTATATGCTGCTGGGTTGCTAGCCATAATTTGTGACATGTCCAGAACACTCCAGATATTCTGGATTTACCTAAGAAATAATACTAAACTTGAAGTGCTAAAACAAACCCAAAGGAATAAAATGTAATGGATTCCAATGGTGCCTTGTCACTCCATTTTTGTGACTCCTCTAACTTTAGCTTCTTACAGGGGGATTCTATTTGTAATACAAAATAGGAGAAAAAATAAGGTTGAGAATTTTTAATCACAAGAAATATTTCCCATTGAAGCCTATTGCTCTATCTTTTATAGCAAAAGTGAGCTAGCAACAGAATGGCTTGATTTGTCAACTGATTGAAGAAGAAACTTTATCTAAATAAACCCTACATTTATAGATGACATACAAGCAAAAAGCCCATGAAAGGGCAACAAAATCATAAAACAGTTAAAAAGAAAAAAAAGACAATGCTTCTGACCAGCAGGTGGCGCTGCAATCCATCATTGTTAGCCAATTGGAAATCTAAGAATACTTGTACTATCCTGTTGACTGTAATTTCCTATTTAGACTCTTCCTGATCCTTTTAACTTGGTGTGTTATGGCATGCTGTGCCCAGTTGTTTTCATTTCAGCACAGAACTCAAAGGAAATTGTTAGACCTGCAGGATTGATAGATTAACTCTGCTAACAATATCAACAATCAAAATTTGTAATAAACATTATCAACCCTGTGAATTATTAAATCAAGCCGTTTAAATGGAAAATATCGATTTTACAGTTTATCAACAGAATCCTGTTTGGACGTGTGAAATAGCAGCAATTTGTAGTAAAGTTAAGCTAAAGGGGTTTCTAAAAGTCCTAGGAGCCTTGGACACAATAGACTTACCCATTAACTTCTTAGTCTATGGCTTAGCAACAATTTAACATATATAGAATGACATAATTAGCAGAAATTTAAAGAATATAGTAAGTCATTTGTTCCAAGGATGGAAATGATCTGGCTAGCATATGTCTTATGCACCCTTTTGTGCCCAAGTCAGAAATCACAGTACCCAATTACAGTACTGTATTGTGCTGAGTCAATGCAAGGCTCTTAGCCTTTTCAGTAGAGCTCTCAATTCATATGAAACCCATTTTCCATCTCTGGGACTGATAAGAAAAGGCTCAGAGAAGTTAATTATTGTTCTAGGAACCCACTAAACATTTATAGAACCAGATACCAGATATTTCACCATCTAATAGATATTTATAGTTATTCTAGTTCAGTAACTTCTAGTTTTAGTTATTGAACTCAAATAACAATTTTATAATTTAAAATAATAATCTTTCTCCAATACTAAGAACTCATACAAACCCTTTACTTTATAAATTTAGCAGTACCTAGAATACAAAGAGGTTTAAAATATACTTGCCTAGTCACATAAAGTCAGTAACAGACATGATTCAAGCCCATGTCTTGTGACTTTGTTTTCTTAGTATATTTTGGATTTCTACTTCAGAAACAGGATTTTTCTTCTGTTTGTTTCTCCACTTATTCATTCTCATTTTTATAAAATCTTTATAGTCTCCATACGCATTTCAGAAACCATGTCAGGTATCAAGTATCCTGGATGAACAAATATACATGGTCCTTCCCATCAAAGAGCATGCAGTACAGCACTAAACAAGGAGACAGATTGTGTGTGACTTTCATTATGATAAGGGCTACGAAGAAAGAACTATGAGAAAAACAATAGAAGAACATATTTGGATTGGTCAGATAACATGTCTGAAGTCATTGGAAGAACACTGAAAAAATAAGAACCTACCAAAGGAAGGGCCAGGGTGTGTGTATTGGACAGGGGTCTGGAGTTGAGGGCAGTATATCCAGGAAGAAGAAAATGTGTGACTGTCCTGAGCTACCATGTTTTCTCAGCACCATAAAGATGATACTCATTTCTGGCACGAATCATTTTTTAAATCATGTTGTGTCCTGCTCAGTGCATCATATCAAGTGTTTCATGCTATTGATATGTCTTCTTATTGGGGATGTTTACCTTGGTCACTTCAGTCACTGTGTATTTGGTTATTCCACTGCAAATTTACTATTTTCTTCTCTGTAGTTGATGAGCATCCTAGGGGAGATACCTTGAAACTATATACATCCTCTTTCTCTTCAAACTTTTGCCAACTGATTTTAGCACACATTGGTGGATATTTATCTACAATATGTGTTACTATGATGTCTGCCTAATGGTGATTCTCTATTTCCCTTTTCCTTCTACATTAATGGAAATTCTACTGTGAGGAAGAGCTATCTGTAGCTCCCATTTACTTATTCAATTATTCATTTATAGTAGTAAGGACTCATGGAAATTTGCTTGATTCCATGGGTAAAATTCAATACTATCAATATTTTCTGACTCGAATTGTTCCAGTGTTGGCCATTAGTTCCTTCAGGTTTGTCTCTTGTGTTTCTCTGACAAACCTCTCTCTTCTGAACATTTCTCTGCTTTCTGGCACCATAAAGGGTTTCAAACCTCATACTATATTTTCTTGTCCCAGCGCTGAAGTCAATCACTTCTCCTAGAAGCTCTGGTTCCTTTTATCGAGTAAGAAAAGTAATTCTTAACTCAGAGCACGTATTAGTTTCACCCCCTGGGCTTTTGAAAACACTCAGGGTCTATTGAATCTGAATTCCTGAAGAAGCCACTGAATATTTTAAAAGCCATAGAGGTAAGCATATACAGTTTCATGGTTGAGACCTACTGTTCTAAAAGGCAGGGAGAGTATATGTACTATTTTTTATGACATGATAAAAATGAAGGTGGGAATGTCCATAGACTAACCCACCTACTACCACTAGTCCCTTGCAATAGCAAACCCCACAGATTTTCTTTCCCAGACTCTGAGCCTCTCACCTGGAACCAAATTCTGAGCAGAGAAGACTGGCCATAGTGGGACACACATACTAAGAACTCAGAGGAAAAAATAGTTACTAATTAAAAAATAAAGAGTGGAGAAGGAGGTGGAAGGTAAGGAAAAACTAAACCCTACAAGAGAGTAAGTTATTTGTGGGGAGGATAAGAGAGCACTTGAATACTGTGTAAAGAGAAGTGGGAAGGAGTAAAGGAAGTATAAAAGCATATCTTTTGGCCCTGAACCTGATCTTTTTTGATATCCTATAGATCTGAGTTTTTAAAAATGGAATTCATGCTTAATTATTTCAATTATTTAACTATTTGTCAAACAAAAATGGGACTCAGCACATGATGCTACTACAATTTCCTAGGGAGAATTTTCCCTTTCTCCCTCTATAAAATTGCCATTTCACATCCTCTCTCACTTCAATTATTCTCTATCCTCCCATCCTCCATCACATGCCCTTTTTCTCATATTTCATTAAGGAAACAGAAGAAACCAGACAGGAAATTCCCTCTCTTCCTACCACCTAACTTGTAATCTCCCCAAAACTCTATTTCTACTTCTCTTTTTAACCTATTACTATAAATGACATTTCTTTATTCCTATCAAAATCTAACACATCCTCTCCCATTCCTAGCTGTTGCAAAGTCTCCTAACTCCTAATTGGTCAGTTCCCTGCCTTCAAACTCTCCACCTCCTTAATCAATCCTGCCAAATTAATCATCCAGTAAGATAATTCGCTCATTCATTCTACAGGTGTTTGTTTACTGAGGACTTTGGCACTATCAGGCACTGAGAATCCATACTCCAAAAAGGATATTAGCTATATTAAACAGTTCAGGCCTACTTTTGAAGACATATTGATAAATAAATAATTAAAATACTGTGCAATAAGTACAATAATGGTAGATCAAAGTGGCATAGAATAATGAGAACTTTGCCCTCAACTACTCTAATCCAAGTCATATCATTTATTTGAATTAAATGCAACAGTTTCATAACTGGTCTTTGTCTTACAGTTGCCCCTACGGTTCTTCTTGTATGCAATAGGCAGAATGATTTCTCAAAAATAAATTTAAACATTCAGTTGCTGTCATGGCCCTTTGGTAAGATATTATCACGTCTAACAGCAGCCATAGTGGAGCTGGCACCTAATCTATCCAGCCTCTTGCCACTCTTCCAACATATATTCCAGCCAAAGAGAATCCTTTAATTCCTCACATACTTTTTTTTTCACCTTAGTGTCTTTCAACATATAACATTCTCTTAGCAGGGAACACCTTCTGGATCATTTTTTCTGCATAACTTAACCCATGAGAGGTTATTTAGTACAGGAAGCCTTCCCTACTTCCCGTAAACTGCACTGGGTACCACCACTAAGTGGTCCCATAGGATCATATACTTAATCGTCTAGCTATTAAATTTATTATAACTGCATGTCAATCGCCAAGCTGTCTTTCTCAGTAGAAGTTTTAAGAAGGCACGGGCTACCTTGCTCACCGATGCTGCCTTAGTTTATTTCTCAGGATTTGGTACATGGTTGTTGCTTGGCAAATATTTGTCTCCTGAATAAATGATCAAGATTGTTCAGTGCTTGCTGATGGTGGGAGAATGGGTAAACATATTCTAGGAATTTCGCAGATAAAGCCAGAAGGTTTTCAGAGCAAAGGGACTTGAAAGTGCAAAGCACAGAAGCTTGAAATAACAGCATGTGTTCAATGAGCGGCAAAGGACTATTTGCTGCAGGAGCAGAGGGAGCTACGGCAGAGAGGTGGGGTCATCGGGCTGGGAAAAAGAGGGACCAGATCAGGGTTATGGTTTCTATGACCTATCAAGTGATTTACACTTTAGGATGTATCTTAAAGAAAGTCACTGAAGGGTTTAAACCCCTCTAATACTGCCAGTGGAGAAAAGACAGTGAACCAATTTGGGCTACAATATCCCTCCCTCCCCCAACATCCAAACCTGGAGATGGACCAGAAAAACAGAAAGGTTAATGGATCTTAGGGTGATTCTCAGCATCTTCCCAACCAAAACACTTAAAAACCCTTAGGGGTCTTGGGTGGGAAGCAATAAACATCTTCTGGATTTCCTGGAGAAGGACAGAGGAAACAGGATGGGGAGGAGTGGGTGGGCAGAGGGAGAACATTCTGTCTGTATGCTCTTCCCACATTGTCCCGTCCCGATTACTGACCAGGATGATTGGCCACTAAAGCAGCATTCTCAGCACAGCACCTGTTAGGCACTGCAGGATCCAACCAAGTATCCAAAAGCATGGAGGAAGCAGCCAATAGCATAAAGAACAAGCATCTGAGTGTCCCTTATCCCCACCCCTTGAAAAATCCATAGGCAATTGCAACATGAATGGTAGCACCTGGATAATGAAGAGGACTGGAGCAAGAAATCCTGGTAAGTTCCTCTGGAGCGAGGAATGATGGAGAGTGCGGAGGAGAAGAGAGGGGAGATGTGAACCCAGAAATGCCCATCCGTAAAAGGTCCTCATCTCACATCCCTCAACTCTCCTGCAGGAGCAGAAATCAGGGCCCAGGCTTTTATCCTTCCCTCAAGGTTACCATTCTTGGCAAAAAGTGACTGACAGGTTTGGCAAGACACTACAAAAGCAGAACTTTAACAAATGGAACAAAAAGAGTAAGAATATAAAATGACCAAATGCTTTCAGAGAGATGGGAAAAATATGAGCAAAATGAAGCAGGAAGATGAAGTATGAAAACAATCAATTGGCAACAGTGGGCTTGAGAAATATAGTCACCGAAATAAATAACCCAATGGATGTGTTTTAAAAAATTGATAGGCCTAAAGAATGATTTCAGAAGCTGGAATGTCATGGCAAGAAACTCTTCAAATAGGAATGGGTAAGAGCTAAAGAGAGGAAAGAAAGGAGATAAGATATATGAGGATGAAAATAAAAGTGTTAAGAAAGACTAAACAAGATAATTTGAATAATAAAAATGAATTCCCCAGAATTAGAGAAAAAAAATTAAAAACTTTAGATTGGAAATAATGTAATGTTTTTAATATCCCCTAGAAAATAGAGCTTGAGACAAACCTTACAGGTTAAAGATCTTTTAGAAACTACAATTCTAGGGTGGCAAGAATGAGAGGAAAAGGAAAGTAAAGAAAGGAAGCAGGGAAAGCAAGTACAGGTGGTGTGTTTCCAAGTTCTCTACGCTTCAAACACACAGAAAACCGCAGCTGGAGGCTTAGTTATATTTATTATATTCCAGACAGGCAAGTGTCTTCCGGGTTAGGAAATGAGAAGGGTTTGTCTGCCAGCTTCTGCTTTCCTGTGCCTCCTTGGTCAGTTTGCCTCCAGTTCAGCTAGATCCCAAACCCATGGACTTCCCCTGAGCTTGAGTGGTGGGAAAAGCCCTAGGTATGGGAATGGAAACAAGTATGAAAGTAAAGGAATAATGGAATTACTGAAGTGTTTTGTTCTCTAGAGAAAGATGACCAATGGAAAAATAAACACAACTAAAACTTAGGCACCAAACTAACTGAGGAAGAGGGTAGGTGGTAGTGACCTAAGGAAGTGAAAATTTGCTCAGATTATTTTCTTATTCAGGAGATAGACATAGATATTGACAAGCATTAGTGATTAATAAGAAAAAGAAAACAGCACAAGTTTGAGTCTGATAATTTGATGTGTTTAGGGGAATGAGTAAGGGAAACAAAACAAATAGGACTTGTGGAAAATCAACTTCTCTAAATAAGATGGCAAAGTTAAGTTTCCAAAGCAGCAATTTCAATAAATATGAATCTATGAAAGTAATTAAATAAGATTCAGAAGCACTCAAATGGGAAAGAGAAAAGGACGATGAATAAGTTGTCTACGAGAAATATATTTCACCTAGAAGAACACATGAGAGTCTGAAAACAAAAACAAAAACCTGGAAGTTAATTTATCCAATTATTTATTTCTATCATATGTACTCAACAGGTATTTATTTTACGCTATGGGTTAAAATTCAATACTATGCTGGGGACTCAAGCATCCAACAGATCGTCCCCTTATTTACAATTTCTTTTCTCAGAATATTTTAGAATTTTTTTTAAATTAGCAAATAACATGTGTTGAAAACAATTAATATTACAGGGAACTGATGCTACAGAAACCTAATGTATATCATATGGGGACCAAATGTTCAAATGAAATTGGAATAAACTCAGCTGGGCAGAAAACAGTTTTACTCATTCTTTGCCAGGCATCTGTTTTTCTGTCCCCTAAACGCAAATTAAAAATGAGTAATAATAATAACAACAATAATAATCTTTTTTACCCCTCAAAAGCAAATTAAAAATGACTAATTATCATCATTATGGCTAACATTTATTAACTGCATACTCTTAATATGTGCCGGGTGTTATCCTAAGTGTTTTAACACGTATTAACTCATTTACTCTGCACAGTAACCCTAGGAGACAGATACTGCTATTCTCCCAATTTTATAGATAAAGAAGACAAGGCACTCAGGCATTAATGTCACAAAGCTAGTAAGCAAAGGAAGTGTGACTGGAATATAAACAGTTAGGCTCCAGAGCTCACACTCTTAACCACCATGACATATTGCTGCTGTCAATGAATTTACAAATACTGCTTTCACTCTCATCTAGTGTAAAAAGTCTGTAGCCCTCACGAAGCATGGCTGTTTTTACTTCCACGGGTATTGTTCATGGTGTCTAGAAGTGGTGTAGGTGCTCTTCATACTTCTCATTTTTGCTTTCAAACAATTGACCCTCTCTTCTCTAAAAACCCAGTTTTGAAGTCTACACCACCTGCCACATTGCTTTGTGGCAGTCAACTACAAACTCTAGGGTCATCCTCCCTTTCATTGAAGATCTGGATCTGAATAACCGTCTTTCTCTTCAGTGCTTCCCCCGCCATGGGTTTTAGTGGTTTCAATGTCCTCATAGGTAAGCCTTCCAATTCCATGACTTCCCCGTTCAGTTATCCCCAACTCCTCCATTGACCCTGACCCTATCATATCTCAGCCCCTCTCCCCATGGTTACATTGTAGGTCATACATACGCAGATTACCAATAACTGTGCCTTCTCCATAATCTTCCTTTCAAGAACTTTCCTTTTTGCCTACAACCTCTTATCTTTCCCAGACACTGGACTCCAGACTCCAGTTCCTCTTCAACCCCATTGGGATATAATTTATTTTGGCTGACCACCTATCCCTACCTCTCATTTCCTTTGTGTTTTAATTTTCTCTTACCAATGTGGGATTACATGGTTTATCAATATAAATACTTCTTTATACTCACCCATAAAACTCCCGCTTCAGTCTTGTTTATAGTACTCACTTGGCAAAACTACAACCCTGGCAAAATCAGTCATCTTGTTATCCACTTCATTTATTCTGAACTTGTACCCAACACATTTGACTGTGGCTAGTGAAAAATACAGAATCACGCTAACTAGCATAAACTCAATTTCATGAACACTAACCTCCTGTGGTCAAGATCCAATAACTTTCCCTTTTTCCTAGAGTGGTTATGTTCTTCCCTCAGACCTCTAACGCATTCCCCTGCCTGGCTTTCTATTTCATGGAGATAAAAGAAATACAAAAATAATCTGAAAAGGAGTTCCACATCTCTTGAAACCCTACTGAATCTATACCCCCATGCTCGGTTTTCTCACCTGTTACCCATCCACAGGTAACAGGAACCTGCTTGAATCACGCCTAATCTATAGGAACCTGCTTGGGTCATCCCTAATCTATAGCCAACCCCCGCCCCTTTTTTTTTTGCAGTGGACCCCAACTCTTCCACCACATTCCAGGACATCTAGAAATTTCTTCTTTCTCCTATCTCAACAATTTCTTCCTTTTTGCTGAGTCATTCCCAGGACCATACAAATGTACTTTAATAGCTCCTATCAAAAGGCATGAATAGATTTTTTAAGAATCCTCCTCCTCCAACTCCACATCCTCTTCCTCCTTCCACCCCTTTCTCTGCTCCCAAATAAAGGAAATCGTCTGGACAGAGTTATTCTTTTTCTCTCTGCTTCTCTCGCTCCCTCTTGTAACTCCTAGGTCAGTCTTTCATCCTTACCTCTCCAGTGAATCTGCTCTTGTCCAACAGTGTCTGCTCCATTGCGAGATACCACAGAGTGGCCCACTCTCTCCTTCTGCTTGTATTTGCTGGGTAACTCTTTCCTTCTAGAAACATTTTCTTCAGTTGAAACCTACACCACGGCTCTCCTGTCTGCTTCCTACCTCGCCAACCACAGTCTCTGTCTCTTTTGCTGATACGTCCTTATCCCTCCTATTTTAGACCACAGCTTCTCAATTCTGGCTGCACATAAGAATCACCTGGCAAGTTTTTAAACTACAACAGAGCCCAGGCCTCAACATATTAAATCAGAATCTCTGACTAATTAAAGCAGAATCGCTGAAGGTGAGTTGAAAGGCTTGGTCAATTTTGTTCATGACTCCCAGGTGATTCTAATGTGCCGCCAGGCTGATAATTCCTGGCAACGTTGGTGTGTCTGCATAAAATAGCACCTCCTTAGCCTACACTCCTTGTTACCTGTGTTGGCTTTATATACGTGTTTGTTTCCAGTCTTCTCAGATAGAATACAAGCTTCTTAAGGGCAGGGTCTCTGTCTAAGCCTGGAATGGTTCCTGGCTTATCCTAGACACTCAGTAATCACGTATTGAGTAAATGAGTCCAGCTCAAGATTCTGGCCGTAGCTTATGTGGAGTTATTGTAGTAATAAAATATCAAAGGGCCAGACAAGTCTTTTGGAAACAATACGTACCCCCAGAAACGTTTACCCTTGTCCCTTTTGTTAGGAACATCTCTCGGATTTGGGTGGAGAGATGAAATTGGGACAGACTAAAAATGATATTGCAATATTGTGGCTTAAAATAAATCATTGTGAGATTTGCATTCTTTGAGTCATGCTTAGGCTGGAACATTTTCTGCCTGCAATTAGATACTCTGTTTCTTTCCTAAATTTCCTGAGACCCTAAAGGGTCACAGCTCCTTTAAGACAAGTCCTGGTATTGCTACCAAAATATTTCTCAAATAAGTGCAATCAAACAACATAGTGCAGTGTAAAAATGAGATAAAAATATACTTAGTAGTAAAAATAAGTCTCACTGAAAACAAATTTAGGCCCTGTATCTAAAAATTTTTAATTACGAGATTTTTCCATCACCAATTAATGAAATGAAACTAGGCTTCTTGAAAAACTTTATAATCCCCTGAGGCAAACATAAAAGGCCTTCTGCTAGAGTCAGGTCTGAGTCCCTTAGGGGCCAAAGCTTTGCATGGTCTAGCCCTGGGAGAGGAAGAAAGTAGTTGTAATTAGTGACTATTATTCACTACGCCTGGCTCAACCAAGTTCACACACATACACAGAGAGTTAAATGTTGATTGCTGGAATTTGACACCTCCTATCTATATAGAAGCAATTCAATGACCATCTACAATAACACTTTTAACAAGAAGTTTCAGTTAATTTATTTACAACATTTCTTTAAACATTTCATCTAGGGTTTTTCTTTATGGTCTGTGCTTTTAAATATTCTAATTATTTATTAAAACAGTTTCAAGTTCTTAAATATAAGCAAAGGAATCACTATTGATGGCAGCGGTGGCCCGTCTGAAGCAGCCGCTGCGGGGACTCCAGCTGCAGCAGGGGAGGCTCCGCCAGGTCTGCGCACTCCGTGGAACTGGTGGGAACCAGAAACAGGTGGAAGCCCCGCCCCGTTTTCAGTTGGCAGGGCGGGAGCCCCAGCTCCCTGACGCAGCTGCAGCTGCCCAGCCATGGCTGCTGACTGAGGCAGCCCTGCACTCTCAGGGACCCTGGAAGCTCCTGTTTCCCCGCAGGCTCAAAAGTACCTGCTCCCGCTGCCTGGCCTCTCCCCACACACAGCGCCCGCTATTTCCTTCTTTCTTCCTCTGTCCTCTCTTCCTGGACGGGTAATCACGTTTCTATAACCACAAGACACTTCCCTCGGATGCATCCCCCAAACTGGGAAGGGTTTAATTTCCCCAAACCTTAAACTGCCTGCCAATCTCTTGGGGAAGGACAACTTCTTTGTCTGTTTCACCTTCGCAGGACTCCAGGGTGATAGGGCTAACGGCTCAGAGGAAGAGAACCCAGAAACTTGACATGCCGGCAAAAGGGTTAAAGTTCTTAGGAGATTTATAGGGGGGAAGATGGCAGATAGGAGTCAGGACTACCATGCAGCTCCCACTTGGGAGACAGAGCAGCCTGCGGAGACTCACATCATGAGCTTTTGCTCCAAGAACTACCGCAGCAACATACCAGGAAAGCTGAGAGAATCCATAAACCCTTTGAAGGAACTGGATCACTGCTGCAGGCTCCCTGAGATGCTAAAAAACCGTGAGTCAACTTGCTTCATCAGCGGGGAGGCTGGTAGTTGGGGCAAGTTCTCAGCCCTGGTCACCAGCTGCCTGGAAGTAGACTCAGTGTTGTTGGGGGAGTACAGTAGGGGTGAGACCAGCCTTTAGGACTGTGGGCTGCATGGGTGTAGAGTCAGATCTGTGACTGCCTGCTTTCCCCCACTTCCCTGGTGACCTGTATGACTTAGCAGAGGCAGCCATACTCCACGTGGGAACATAACTCCACCGGCCTAGGAACCAACCACACCACCATCCCCCATAGCAGCTGCAGCAAGCCCCATCCAAGGATAGTCTGAGCTCAGACATGTCTATCCCTGCTCCCACCTGGTGATCTTTTTCTATCTGCCCTAGTTGCCAAAGACAAAGGACATAATCTCTTGGGAGCTCTATGGCCCTGCCCACTGCCTGAGAAACCTGAATACATAACCAGGCGACCCTAGGGCATGTTTGCTTCCTCCCTATAAGAGCTGATGTGCTCTTGAGAGTGCCACCTTCTGGCTGGAGGCCAACCAACACAAAATCAGTACACTAAGCAAAAACACAACCAAGGACCCTCACAGAGTCCATTTCACTCCCCTGCTGCCTCCACTGGAGCAGGTGCTGGTGTCCATGGCTGAAAGATCTGAAGGCAGATCACATCACTGGACCCTTGCAGACACTCCCCAGTACGAACCCAGAGCCCAGTAGCTTCTTCCAGGTGGCCAGACCCAGAAGAGCAAAAACAAGTACCACAGTTTGGCTCTCTGGAAGCCCCATCCCTAAGGGAATGGGGAGACCATCACATCAAGGGAACACCATGTGGGACAAAATAATCTAAACGGCAGCTCTTCAGTCCCATATCTTCCCTCTGACGTAGTCCACCCAAATGAGAAGGAACTAGAATAACAATTCTGGTAATATGACAAAACAAGGTTCTTTAGCACCCCCAAAGATCACACCAGCTCACCAGCAATGAATCCAAACCAAGATGAAATCTCTGAATTGCCAGAAAAAGAATTCAGAAGGTCAATTATTAAGCTAATCAAGCAGGCACCAGAGAAAAGTGAACTTCAACTTAAAGAAATAAAAAACATCACCTGGGCATGGTGGTTCAAGCCTGTAATCCCAGCACTTTGGGAGGCCGAGGCTAGTGGATCACGAGATCAGGAGATAGAGACCATCCTGGCCAATATGGTGAGATCCCATCTCTACTAAAAATACAAAACTTAGCTGTGCATCGTGGCACGGGCCTGTAGTCCTAGCTACTTGGGAGGCTGAGGCAAGAGAATTGCTTGAACTTGGGAAGCAGAGCTTGCAGTGAACTGAGATAGCACACTGCACTCCAGCCTGGCGACAGAGTGAGACTCCATCTCCAAAAATAAAAATAAAAAAGAAGGAAAGAAAGAAGGAAAACACATGATGCAGGATACGAAATAAAAATTCTTCAGTGAAATAACGAATAAAAAACAATCACAACTTCTGGAAATCAAGAACACACTTAGAGAAATGCAAAATGCACTGGAAAGTCTCAGCAATAGAATCTAACAAGCAGAAGAAAGAACTTTAGAGCTTGAATACAAGGCTTTTGAACTAACCCATCAAATTAATCCATCAAAGACAAAGAAAAAAGAATTTTAAAAAATGAACCAAGCCTCCAAGAAGTTTGGGACTATGCTAAGCATCTAAACCTAAGAATGATTGATGTTCCCAAGGAAGAAGAGAAATCTAAAAGTCTGGAAAACATGTTTGAGGGAATAATAGAGGAAAACTTCCCTGGCCTTGCTGGTGATCTAGACATCCAAATACAGGCAGCCTGAAGAACACCTGGGAAATTCATCACAAAAAGTTCATTGCCTAGGCACATAGTCATCAGGTTATATAAAGTCAAGACAAAGGAAAGAATCTTAAGAGCTGTCAGGCAAAAGGATCAGATAACCTATAAAGGAAAACCTATAAGAGTAACAGCAGATTTCTCAGCAGAAACCCTACAAGCTAGAAGGGATTGGGGTCCTATCTTTAGCCTCCTTAAACAAAACAATTATCAGCCAAGAATTTTGTATCCAGCAAAACTAAGCTTCATAAATTAAGGAAAGATAACATCTTTTCCAGACAAACAAATGCTGAGAGAATTCATCACTACTAAGCCAGCACTACAAGAACTGCTCAAAGAGCTCTAAATATTGAAACAAATCCTGGAAACACAGCAAAATAGACCCTACTTAAACAGTAAATCTCACAGGACGTATAAAACAATAATACAATGAAAAAAAGGTATTCAGGCAATAAATAGCATGACAAATAGAATAGTACCTCACATCTCAATACTAACATTGAATGTAAATGGCCTAAGTGCTCCACTTAAAAGATACAGAATGGCAGACTGGATAATAACTCACAAACCAAGTTTCTGCTGTCTTCAGGAGACTCAGTTAACACATAAAGACTCACGTAAACCTAAGGTAAAGGTGTGGAAAAAGATATTCCATACAAATGGACACCAAAAGCAAGCAGGAGTAGCTATTCATATATCAAACAAACTGTAAAGCAGCAGGAATAAAAAAAGACAAAGAAGGACATTATATAATGATAAAAGTTCTAGTCTACAGGAAAATATCACAATCCTAAATATATACGCACCTAAAACTGGAGCTCCAAAATTTATAAAACAATTATTACAAGACATAAGAAATGAGATCAATGCCAACACAATAATAGTGGGAGACTTCAATACTCCACTGACAGGTCATCAAGACTGAAAGTAAACTGTGAGACAATGGACTTAAACTATATCCTAGAACAAATGGACTTAACAGATATTTACAGAACATTCTACCAACAGCTGCAGAATATACATTCTATGCATTAACACACGGAACATTCTCCAAGATAGACCGCATGATAAGGCACAAAACAAGTCTCAGTAAATTTAAGAAAATCAAAATGATATCAAGTACTCTCTCAGACCACAATGGAATAAAATTGGAAATTAACTCCTAACAAAACCCTCAAAACCATGCATATATATATATAGAAATTAAGTAACCTGCTCCTGAATGATCATTGGGTCAACAATGAAACGAATTTTTAAAAATTATTTGAACTGAGCAATAATAGTGACACAACCCATCAAAACCTCAGCAATAGTGGTGCTAAGAGGAAAATTCATAGCATTAAATGCCTACATCAGAAAGTTTGAAAGAGCAAACTGGGGTCACATCTCACAAAACTAGAGAAACAAGGACATTCCAAACCCAAACCCAACAGAAGAAAAGTAATGACAAAGATCAGAGCAGAGAATTAAATGAAACTGAAACAACAAGAACAATACAAAAGATAAATGTAACAAAAAGCTGGTTGTTTGAAAAGATAAATAAAATGATAGACCATTAGTGAGATTAAACAAGAAAAGAAGAGAGAAGATCCAAATAAGCTCAATTAGAAATGAAATGGGATATACTGATACCACAGAAATACAAAATATTATTCAAGGCTACTATAAACATCTTTATGGACATAAACTAGAAAACCTAAATGAGATGGACAGATTCCTGGAAATATACAACCCTCCTAGATTATACCAGGAAGATATAGAACTCTGAACAGGCCAATAACCAGCAGCCAGATTGAAATGGGAACTAAAAAATTGCCAATAAAAAAGTCCAGGACCAGATTAATTTACTGCTGAATTCTATCAGACATTCAAGGAAGAATTGGTACCAATCCTACTGACACTATTCGACAGGAGAGAGAAAGAGGGAATCCTTCCTAAACCATTCTATGAAGCCGGTATTACCCTAATACCAAAACCAGGGAAGGACATAACAAGAAAAGAAAACTACAGACCAATATCCCTAATGAACATAGATGCAAAAATCCTCAACAAAATACGAGCTAGCCAAATCCAACAGTATATCAAAAAGAATCCATCATTATCAAGTGGGTTTCATACCAGGGATGCTGGAATGGTTTAACATCTGCAAATCAATAAATGTGACACACCACATAAACAGAATTAAAAACAAAAATCATATGATCATCTCAATAGACACAGAAATAACATTTGACAAAATCCAGCATCCGTTTATGATTAAAACCCTCAGCAAAATCGGCATAGAAGGGACATACCTTAAGGTAATAAAACCCATCTATGACAAACCCACAACCATCATTATACTGAATGGGGAAAAGTTGAAAACATTCCCTTTGAGAACTGGAACAAGACAAAAATGCCCACTTTCACCGCTTCTATTCAAGATAGTACTGGAGGTCCTAGGCAAAGCCATCAGACAAGAGAAAGAAATCAAGAGCATCCAAATTGGTAAAGAGAAAGTCAAACTGTTGCTGTTTGCTGATTATATGATTGTATACCTAGAAAGCTCTAAAGACTCATCCAAAAAGCTTCTAGAACTGGTAGATGAATTCAGCAAAGTTTCAGGATACAAAATTAATGCACAGAAATCAGTAGCTCTGCTATACACCAACAGCAACCAAGCTGAGAATCAAATCAAGAACTCAACCCCCTTTTACAATAGCAAAAAATAAAATACTTAGGAATATACCTAACCAAGGAGGTGAAAGGTTTCTAAGAAGAAAACTACAAAACACTGCTGAAAGAAATCACAAACAACACAAACAAACAAATGGAAACACATCCCATGCTTGTGGATGGGTAGAATCAATATTCTGAAAATGACCATACTGCCAAAAGCAATCTACAAATTCAACTCAATTCCCATCAATATACCACCATTATTCCTCATGTAACTAGAAAAAAAAATCCTAGAATTCATATGCAACCAAAAAAGCCTGCAGAGCTAAAGCAAGACCAAGCAAAAAGAACAAATCTGGAGGCATCACATTACCCAACTTCAAACTATACTATAAGGCCATAGTTGCCAAAACAGCATGGTACTTGTATAAAAATAGGCACATAGGCTGGGTGCAGTGGCTCACACCTGTAATCCTAGCACTTTGGGAGGCCGAGGTGGGTGGATCATTTGAGGCCAGGAGTTTGATACCAGCCTGGCCAACGGGGTGAAACCTTGTCTCTACTAAAAATACAAAAATTAGCCGGGTATGGTGGTGCACACCTGTAATCCCAGCTACTCAGGAGGTGGAGGCACAAGAATAGCTTGAACCCAGGAGGCAGAGGTTGCAGTGAGCTGAGATTTTGCCACTGCACTCCAACCTTGGCAACGGAGCAAGTCGTTGTCTCAAATAAATTAATTATTTAAAAAAAAAATAGGCACATAGACCAAATGGAACAGAATAGAGAACCCAGAAATGAAGCCAACTGATCTTTGACAAAGCAAACAAAAACATTAAGTGGGGAAAGGGCACCCTATTCAACAAATGGTGCTAGGATAATTGGCAATCCACTGCAGGAGAATGAAACTGGATCCTCATCGTCTTACATTATACAAAAATCAACTCAAGATGGGTCAAATACTTCAATATAAGAACTGAAACCATAAGGATTCTAGAAGATGACATTGAAAAGATCATTTTAGACATTGGGTTAGGCAAAGACTTCATGACCAAGAACCCCAAAGCAAATGCAACGAAAACAAAGATAAATAGATGAGAGTTAATTAAACTAAAAAGCTTCACAGCAAAAGAAATAATCAGCAGAGTTAACAGACAACCCACAGAGTGGAGGAAAATCTTCACAATCTACACATCTGACAAAGGATTAATATTCAGGATCTACAAAGAATTCAAACAAATCAGCAAGAAATTTAAAAAAATCACATCAGTGGGCTAAGGACATGAATAGACAATTCTCAAAAGAAGACATACAAATGGCCAAAAAACATGAAAAAATGCTCAACATCACTAATTATTAGGGAAATGCAAATGAAAACCACAATGTGATACCAACCTTACTCCTGCAAGAATAGCCATGATCAAAAAATCAAAAAATTGTAGATGTTGGTGTGGATGCAGTGAATAAAGAACACTTTTACATTGTTGGTGGGAATGTAACCTAGTACAACTATGGAAAACAGTGTGGAGATTCCTTAATGAACTAAAAGTAGATCTAACATTTGATCCAACAATCCTACTACTAGGTATCTACCCAGAGAAAAAGAAGTCATTATACACAAAAGAGACTTGCACACGCAAGTTTATAGCAGCACAATTTGCAATTGCAAAAATATGGAACCAGCTCAAATGCCCATCAATCAATGAGTGGATAAAGAAAATGTGGTATATATATCATGGAATATTATTACTCAGCCATAAAAAGGAACAAAACAATGGCATTGGCAGCTAGCTGGATGGAATTTGAAATTGTTATTCTAAGTGAAGTAACTTGTGAATGGAAAACCAAACATTGCATGTTCTCAGTCATAAGTGGGAGCTAAGTAATGAGGATGCAAAGGCTTAAGAATGATACAATGGACTTTGGAGCTTGGGGGAAGGGGTGGGAGTTGGGTGAGGGATAAAAGACTACACATTGAGTACAGTGTACACTGCTTGGGTGATGGGTACACTAAAAATTAAGAAATCACCACTAAAGAATTTATTCATGTAACCAAACACCACCTGTTCCCCCAAAAACCTATTAATATAAAAATAAATTTAAATAAATAAATAAAATGCCTCACAAAAAATAAATAATTTTTTTTAACTTTTCTTACTAGTCAGACTTCTGCTTTGTCTCTCTCTGTGCAAACTGGTTGTAGGAATGGTAAAAATTACTGTATTCTCTGCCCCTCCGTGAGTTCAAAAGCCAGAAGTATTGGCCATTTGGCGTGGCTAAGGTTGGGTAATAAGAGAATTAAAAGGACTTATTTTAAAAGGAGTGCTATGGTTAAAAGCCAGCTTAATTAAAAGCGGATAGCCAAGCTGTAGTTATATTTCAAAAGCCTTTATGTCTTTTCTCTTTGTGGATCTTGTTTTTCTTAAAAAAAGTTTTTTTCTTCTCAGTCGACTGAATTATTTTTCTCCATTTTATCTTGGCTCTCTTAATGCACATATGAGAAGCCCTAAGATAACTTCTGATGTCCAGGGACTCCTTGGGAAAAACAAAGGAGGTGGCCGGGTGCGGAGGCTCATGCCTGTAATCCCAGCATGTTGGGTGGTCGAGACAGGTGGATCACCTAAGGTCAGGAGTTTGAGACCAGCCTGGCCAACATGGTGAAACCTTGTCTCTACCAAAAATACAAAAATTAACCGGGCATGGTGGTTTGCGCCTGTAATTCTGGCTACCAGGAGGGCTGAGGTGGGAGAATCGCTTGTAACTAGGAGGTGGAGGTTGAAGTGAGCCGAGATTGTGCCACTGCACTCCAGCCTGGGCGACAGAGGGCGACTCCATCTCAAAAAATAAAAATAAAAACAAAAAAAACCAAAAAGCAAACAACAACAACAACAAAAAAGGAGGTGAAACTAAACTACTGAAAGAAAACAGACTGAAAAGCTAAGTCTTCCCTCTTCATGAGTAAAAGCTTTGCCTTCTTTGAAAATTTTTGAGTCATCATTTTGGCTAAATAAATGACTTACGGTAATCTGGAATTCTATTTCATAATATCAAGTGTTTTAAACCTTTAATATATTTGATAGGCTTCCCAAAATGAAATTTCAAATTTATATATTTTTTTTTTTTACTGGTAACTTTGGGATGCTACAGAGGGCCCCTGAAATATCCGGAAGACAGGTAAACAGGATTATTTGATGTGCTTAGTTACATGGGATTGTCAAAATAAAAATAAGGCTTAATCTTTTTCAGTTATATTTTTGTGAATAATATTAATATATGTTCCAAAATTGTATGAGATTTCTAAATTTTAATGTCTGAGTATATGTTATCAATCATAACTAGGGTTATTATGTTATTATAAACCACAGAAATAACCAAATTTCTTTGTCAATCAGGTTTTTGACTGTGACTACCCTAAAACATTTTGCCATTCACAGACAATTGTTGTCTTGTTTTGATCCTCTTGTTTGATCCTCTTCTAAAGATAGTTTATAATCAGCTATAGGACTTTGACAGATGCTCATTAGTTGTTTTTAAGTTTTTGTCTGCATTTTAGACTAAGCCTGCTTATTCCTGTGACCAACCAGTGATCTCTAACTGCAGCTCAGAAGAAACAAAAGGGATACATAATGTAAAAATCTGGACCAATATTCTAATTCTGGGCAATTATCCTGCAAACGCTGCCAGGTGATGGGGTTAAATGTGGTCCTCATAACCCGCAGGTTTCTTTTTTGAAAAAATAAGACCAAGGAGCTAACTGAAGCCAATCTCCATGCACCCAAGTCTTAGCAAGCACAACTGTAGCTACCAGTTATCTAGGTGTGTCAGCAGCCTCAGGACTTTTGAGCTGTCCTTACCCTCTTGTTTCATTTTGATCTATGTCTTCTAATAACCCAGTTGTCTCTTCTTGTCTTCAGGCCATCACACTCCAAATGGTCATGCAAATGGAACCATGGATGATGGCTCCCTTTTACTGGGAACCCTTAGATAGGCCTCTGAGAGATCTGACTGCTGTTTTCCCCAAAACATGCCCCCTGTCATTATGAAGCAATTAAGATGAGGCATCATCCCTATCTTAATGACAGTTAGATGTACCTCTTCACATGAGGGATTGATGGCAGCAGCAGCCCATCTGGAGCAGCCACCTGTGGGGATGCCAGCTGCAGTGGGGGAGGCATGGCTGGAGCTGTGCACTCCAGGGAGCTGGTGGGAACAAGCAGCAGGCGGGAGAGCTGGCCCCTTCCAAGTTGGGAGTTGTGGGAGCCCTGCACTCCTGGGTTCAGCTGCAGCTGCCCAGCCGCAGCTGTGCACCCAGGCATCCCTGCACTCTCAGGGGACTGGGAAGCCCCCTAACCCCAGAGGCTCAGAAGTGCCTGCTCCCACTGCCTGGCCTCTCCCAGCTCCAGGTGGATGCTCTGATTTCAGAGCAAAGTTGAAGCCAAGCCTGGGCCCTGTCACTACCCAGCTGGATATGCATGTGCCCAAGGCAATGCTTACATGCCAGCCCCCTGCCCCCTCAGCCCCCTCTGGAATTTGGGTGCGATGAGCACAGGAGGGAGGCTGAGGTGAAGTGTAGGGTGGCTTGGCACAGGTCTGCGGGCATTCCTCGGCATGAAAAGCCTGGGCATCATGGACGACATGACTGATGGTGGCAGGAGGCAGACAGGCTCCTGGGTGGAAAGGGGCAGGTCCCCAGTGAAATCCCACCTTCAAGCCAGTGACGGCCTGAAGCATGGGGAGCAGGCTGTCAGTTCCAGGTGAAGTTAATAAACCAGAGTGAGAACTTACGGGACTTTTTCCAGACCCACCCATGTCCACTCATGAACCAATCAGCACTTCCTCCCTTCTAAGCCCATAAAAATCCCAGACTTAGCCAGACTCGAACAAACTTTGTGATGACCTGCCTGCAGAAAGGAGCCACCCATTTTGGGTCTCCTGAGAGCTGTTCTGTCACTTAGTGAAGCTCCTCTTCACCTTGCTCGTCCTCCAGTTGTCTGTGTACCTCATTCTTCCTGAAAGCAAGATAAGAACCCAGGACCTGGCCAGGCACAATGGCTCACGCCTGTATTCTCAGCACTTTGGGAGGCCGAGGCGGGCGGATCACGAGGTAAGGAGATCAGATCGAGACCATCCTGGCTGGCACGGTGAAACCCGTCTCTACTAAAAATACCAAAGATTTGCCAGGCGTGGTGGCGGGCGCCTGTGGTCCCAGCTGCTCGGGAGGCTGAGGCAGGAGAATGGAGTGAACCCGGGAGGCGGAGCTTGCAGTGAGCGGAGATCGCGCCACTGCACTCCAGCCTGGTGACAGAGCGAGACTCCGTCTCAAAAAAAAAAAAGAACGAACTTAGGACCCACCAAATGGCAGGATTGAAAGAGCTGTAACACAAACAGGGCTGAAACACACCCCCCAACCCTGCTCACCGCATTTCAGGCAATGAGAAGGAGAGAAGAGCTGCGGCCCTTTAGGGAGGGCAGACCTAGGGGTTCCCCGAGCCAGGGCTGTGACAACCTCTTTGGAGCTCTGCAGTTCCTGTCATCTCCAAGCTTCTGGACACCACTGCATTCCCCTTGTCCAGATGTGGGTGCCCGCAGAGGAAGCCACACATGGTACATCTGGTCCAGCCACAGCCTCACACAGAAGTGGCACCTGTACCAGCACCTGTAGCTGCCCGCCCCACCACAGCAGCCAGCATGCCTGGCTGTGCAAAGTGGCTGGACCCCGTGCTCACTCGCCTACATACCCCTAGCTGCTCTGCGCCTGGCTCGCCCTTGGCAAGTATGGGATCTGGGCCAATAGCGTTAGCCAAGCACAGCCTGCCAGCCTTCAAGGGCGGAACAAGCCCAGTGGGCACAAGATATATTCAGCAGAAGGTGCCGCCAGCCACAGAGGTTTCCAGCTGGCGAAGTGACACCCCAAGGATCCCATGACACTATTTTTGCTTTACAATTTTAAGACAAAACGTTTGAAAGATTTTTTAAAAAGGTTGTATCTTTTAAGAGTCAGGTGACCATGTGATTCCAAAATGCTGTTTCCTACACACGCTAGATGTCACTGCATGACCTGAAGTGTTGGCTCTAACTTGATCTATTTGTTTACTCTCCTTATAGGCAAGATCAGTAAGAGTACAAAATAATCTCCAGGCACATTTCCCGACAGCGGCAGGTTTGCTTGTATCTGGCCATTGTACTAATAAAAATGAATTCTTCTGAACTCTCACAGCAATTCTATACATTAACCTACAAAGCAACATTCTCATTTTTCTTTTTATTGACTCTTTCTTTTCCAAATTCTGAATGTTTGCATTGATGAGTAAACAGATGGTCCCTAATCTAAAAGATACTGGGAGAAACATGGCCAGGTGCAGTGGCTCACGCCTGTAATCCCAGCACTTTGGGAGGCCGAGGCGGGCGGATCGCCTGAGGTCAGGAGTTCGAGACCAGCCTGGCCAACATGGTGAAACCCCGTCTCTACTAAAAATACAAAAAGTAGCCGGGCGTGATGGTGGGCGCCTATAATCCCAGCTATTCAGGAGGCTGAGGCAGGAGAATTGCTTGAACCCGGAAGGCGGAGGTTGCAGTGAACCAAGATCATGTTACCGCATTCCAGCCTGGGAGACGGAGTGAAACTCTGTCTCAAAAAAAAAAAAAAAAAAAAAAAAAAAAAAAAATGCGGGAGAAACGTAAAGAAAATAAAAAGTAGCTAATGAACTTAATGTGTTCCAAATCCAATACATAGTTATGGAATGCTTTCTGTGTGTCAAGCACCAATAAGCAGCAGGAGACATAAAATATGAAGGACACATAAAGAACTGTGGGAACATAGAGAAGAGGCTCATAAAGGAATTAGGCAACAGACACCAGCCCCAAAAGAAACAGCTAATCTTCATTTGAAAAAACTTATATACTTGAGGTGGTTTATTATTTGTGCTTCCTTAGGTTCGAGCAACATTTATCAACTATATTTAGTGCTCCGTGAGATGTAAATAGGTGTTTAGCAGAAAAGAATTCCACAGTCAAATAAGTCTGAAAAAAATTTTGGCTATTAAAAAGCCAACAGGCATGTTTTAATTGCAGAATTTCTCAGAGTGTCCGCTATTTGAATGTGAATTTCATCTCAAAGAGGAATGCAGTACCTATTATGTCTTAATGAGAGATACATTCTTTTTTTTCTTTTTTCTTTTTTTTTTTTTTTTTTTTGAGACAAAATCTTGCTCTGTCGCCCAGGCTGGAGTGCAGTGGTGCAATCTCAGTTCACTGCAACTTCCGCCTCTGGGGTTCAAGCGATTCTCCTGCCTCAACCTCCCGAGTAGCTGGGACTACAGGCGTGCACCACCACACCTGGGTAATTTTTTTTTCTTTGTATTTTTAGTAGCGATGGGGTTTCACTATGTTGGCCAGGCTGGTCTTGAACCACTGACCTCAGATGATCCACCCACCTTGAACTCCCAAAATTCCGGGATTATAGGCATGAGCCACTGTGCCCAGCCAAGAGATACATTCTTAAGAAACAGTGGTTTCCCACCTAACAGGTTTAATGAAAAGCAGTAGAAGAAATAACAGTGGCTACTTGGAATATGAAGATTTAATATTTATGGCTGTTAATATTTTATAGATTAGAAAAAAATCTGTGATCTTATTTTTACCCAATTACTGGAAATTGATCTGAAAAAAACTATTTTACAAAGTCAGGATATTTTTTAGTTTGATTTTTCCTTTTTGTAAGTAACTTTGATGTAATATCAAACAAATGTTCTATGCAGTGCAATTCAAAACTCACATCAATTATTTAGCTGAAACAAACAAAAAGAGACTTAGAAGAAATTGGATGTATACAGTAAATTTCAAGCCATGCTCCCAGATTTCCTAAGAGTTAAGTATTTATCTCCCTCTGCCATTAGGGATTCCTTAAAAAGGAAAGGTCCAGAAACCATTCTATTAGGATAAACCATGGTTTATGTGAACTCGTTGAGCTAAAGAAAATGGAACAATGCTATGAAGAATATATTGCAATAACGTTTATTAATGGGGCTTGGAGAAAATCAAACCCTAAAATATAATCTGAACATTGGCAAATGATCAATGCTGCATCTCTTCCTTCTTTGGTTCCACTCTGTCCTTCCCCACTCTTCATGCTGCTGCTAGAGACTGATTTGTTTGGACACCATCGGCAGGGCTATAACCTTTGGTTTCCTGTCAGTTCAGCCAGTAGGAACTCTGCCTGCCAAGACACTAACAAGCCCAAGAAGAGTGAGGTCTGGATATTTACTCTCCTGGCTCCTTTCCTGTAAGGTTACCTCAGGCTAACTTTTCCCTCAATGGAAGGTCATTACTCCTCTCAAGTGAGTGTTGACCAATGTGTATTACACAGAAAACAGCCATCACAAACAAGACAGAAAACAAAAGTGTCATGGTCCCATTTGCATTCCATGATTCCCTCCCCACTGTTTCAGAAACCATTGTTCTGTGTTTTGATATGATAGATTAGTAGTTTGCATTCTCTAGAATTTTATATCTACAAAACAAAATAGTATGTTCTCTTTTCTGTATGAATTTTTTCAATCAGCATTTTGAGATTCATCCAATATGTTGTTTGCATCAGTAGGTTCCTTTGGTTTTTGTTTGCTTGTTTTGTTTTTTTGAGTACTTTTTTGAATTCATGAAACAAAATGTGTTTATACATTTATGTCTTTATTGCAATTATGGTTGTTTCCAGATCTGGGCTCCTGTGATGTAAGCTACTATTATTGTACTGGTATTCCTGGATACATTTTTCTGTGGACAAATGTTTTTATTCTCTTGGGTAAATGCCAAGGAGTGAAATGAATTAGTCTTTTTATTTTGTTGTTGTTGTTTTTGTTGTTGTTGTTTGTTTGTTTGTTTTGAGACAGAGTCTCGTTCTGTTGCCCAGGCTGGGGTGTGCTTATAGTAGGTGAATGTCTAACATTTTAAGAAATTGCCAAACAGATTTCTAAAGGATTGTACCATTGTGTAGTCCTACCAGTGATGTATGAGAATTCTAGTTGTTCTACATCTTCACTAACACTTAGTATATTCTTTTTAGTTTTAGTCATTGTAATAAAAGGGAAAAAAAAGAAAGGCAAAATAATCAAGAAAAAGAAGTAAAATTGTGTCTATTTTCAGTAGGCAAGATTAACTAGTCTATGTAGTATTATCTCATTCTGATTTTAAATGCATTTTCCCAATTGAGATATTGTGAATCTTCTCCATTGTATTTACTGGACATTTTTACATCTTTCTTAAGAAGTATCTATTCAAATAGTTTGTTCATTTTTATTAGGTCTCTGGTCTTCTTATAGACTCAAAAGAGTATTATATATATTCTGGATATGTATGTTTTCTCCTACTATGTGGCTTACTTCTTTTGTTTTGCTAAAGTTTTCTTTCAAAGTGCAAAGTTGTTAAATTCTGATGAAATCTAAGTTACCATTTTTTTCTTGGATTACTTATACTTTCCTTTCATAGAAACCTTTGCCTACATTAAGGTCACAAAGGTTTCTCTTCTATTTCTTTGTTGAAATATTATAATTTTACTTTTTTACATTTATATTAATAATCCATTTCTTGTTAGTTTTTTAGCACAGTATGAGGTAAGGGTAAATGTTCACTTTTCCTCATGTATTTATCTAGTTATCCTAGCAACATCTAAAAGAAATGTTCCCTTCCCCATTGGATTGTTTTGGGGTACTTGCTGAAAATCAATTGGTCATATATGTATAAGTTTATTTCTAGACCCTCTATTCTATTATATTGACCTTTATATCTATCCTTTTGTTGCCAAACCACATTTAAAATAGTGCATGTCCACCAAATTAATTTTCTCTCTAAATTGCCCGCAGTATTCTAGGTCATTTTGATTTCTACATACATTTTTGAGTCATCTGATAAATTTATACTTTTTTAAAGTCTGTGGAAAATTTGGATTGGAATTGTGTTGGGAAAAATACATACACACAATTGGGAAAAATTATAATTTTAACAATACTAAGAAAGGAAATGTGTAAACATGGTACATCTTTTTAGTTACATAGGCCTTTTAAATTTTTCTCAGTGATGTTCAATAGTTGTAAGTGAAGAGGTCTTGTTCATTTTTTTTTTGCTAAAATTATTCCTAAATGTTATTTGTTGCTGTTATACAAAAATGTATTTGTTGCTTTTATATGAGCCCCCTATCCTCTGACCTTATAAAAAGCAGATGGTGGAGCCGTGCTTGTATAGCCCATAGAACTGTAAGCCAATTATACCTCATTTTTAAATAAATTTCCTAATCTCAGGTATTCCTCTATAGTTATGCAAAAATGAACTAATACAACAAACTACTATGATTTTTTTTTCTTGATGTGAAATCCAAGCTTGAATTACTGGGATAAACCCTACTTGGTCCAATATATTTTCCTTTTCATACATTGTTGGCTTTGATTAGCTAATATTTTATTAAGGATTTTAATATCTATATTCATAAGAATATTCATCTATAATGATTTTATTTTTGTAGTATCTTTGTCAGGTTTTCTATTAAGATTATGCTGGCCTTATATAATGAGTTGGAGAATGTTCCCTCTTTATTATTATCCTATTTTTCTGAAAAATGCTGTGTAAGATTGGTCTTATTTCCTCTTCAAATTGTGACAGAATTAACCAGTGAAATCATGTGAAAATTTCTGAGTAAGAAGGCTTTTTGATTTAAAACGAAATTATTTTAAATAAATTTTTATTTTCGTATTGTGTTTGTTACATTTGTCAATAAATTTATCCATTTCATTTAAGTTGTAGAATTTTTGAAATAGAGGTTGTTGACAATATTCTATTATTTTCCATTAATATTTGTAAGACCTTTCATTTCTAATATTAGCAATTTTTCCTTTCTCCCTCCTTTTCTCTCTCTCTGTGAAACAGTGATCATCTTTGCTTGGTGCTTATCAATTTTGTTGATATCTTCAAAGAACCAGGTTTCTGCATTAATTTTTTCTATTGTTTGCCTGCTTTCTATTTCATTACTTTCTGCTCTCAGCTTTATTATTTCCGTCTTCTATTTACTTTGCTCTTTTTTTTCTTAGCTTCTTCTGGTGGTACCTTAGCTCTTCATTTTAGGTCCTTCTTTTGTAACATTTAAAGCTTTAAGTGTTTTCCTAAACACCACTTTTGCTATGCCCCACACATTTTAATATATTGTTTTCACATTATCATTCAGTTTGAGCATTTAATTTTCTTTTTTTCCGTTTGACCCATGAATAATTTAGAAATTGTTTGTTAAATTTCTAAGTATTTGAGGTTTTCCTAGATGTTTTATTGTAAATGAATACTAATTTAACTATGCCATGATCAGACAATATACTCTATTTCAATACTTTTGGAATTAGTAAAACTAATTTTGGGACCCAACACATGTATTATATTGGTGAATGTATCACACATGCTGAAAATGAATATTCTGCAATTGCTGAGGGTAGCATTCCATAAATATCTATTGAGTCAAGACTATTGCCACTTATTTTTTAGTTTTTCTAGCTCTGTTCCTATCTGCACTTTCATGTGAACATTATTTCGTTTTTCCTCTGTTGTTTTTGTTATGCTCAAATTGTTTTCTATTCCCAGCAGTGTGGGACTTTGAAAGGAGATGTAGCTGGTTAATGCTGAGAGTTTATGTCTCAGCCTCTCTTGCTAGCTTCTTTAGTCTTTTATGTAGACCGCTTGCACTCACCTGTTATTGAATTCTGCAAAGCAGCAACTCTAAAGTTGTAGCTAATGTTCTTCAATAGGTTTGCTAAACTTTTGGATTAGTACCTTTTAGTTAATCAGGTGTTCTCATGTCTGTCAGATACACTGTGGCTGTCTTCTGCTTCCTCCTTTGCAGATGCTGATACTACACTGGTCTTGTAGCTGTTGGTAATTTGTCCTTACTCACTCATACTTTAGGGTTAATGAGGATGTCTTGTCACCTCCACTTGTTTTAGACGCTGTCTTCAGGTTAGGCTTTCATATCCTAATTTCCCTATGTGTTTGAATGGTTGGATTTGAGAAGACTCATAAACTATTCTACCACCCACTACCATCATTCTGCCAGAATCCTCTGAACTCCTAGTATTTTGCTAATGTTTCCTCCTTTATGTGTAGTTTGCCATTTTAGTCACTTTTACATTTATTTTTTTAAATGGAATTGGAATTTTAGTATTTTATAAACAGTTTCCTTGGCTCTGTATTTAACAAAATGCTTCCTTTGATTTAAAATGCTTCATATAGAAATAAAGATAATACGGCCGGGCATGGTAGCACACACCTGCAATCCCAGCTCTTTGGGAGGCCGAGGCAGGCAGATCACTTGAGGCAGGAGTTCGAGTCCAGCCTGGCCAATGGTGAAACCCTGTCTCTACTGAAAATACAAAAATTAGTTGGGCACGGTGGCTGGCACCTGTAATCCCAGCAACCAGGGAGGCTGAGGCAAGAGAATCACTTGAACCTGGGAGGTGGAGGCTGCAGTGAGCCAAGATCACGCCACTGCACTCTAGCCTGGGCAATAGAGCGAGACTCCGTCTGAAGAAATAAATAAATAAATAAATAAATAAATAAATAAATAAATATAATATGGTTTAGGTGTGTTTCTGAGTTTTCAAATGTGATCTTCTGGCATGGCTCTTCCTTCATTAATACCATACTGTTCTTGTTCTCACAGGGAGAGTCTGTGCTCACTATCTCCCTTTCTAAATGATTTCAGTTATTTTCCTAAGTATCAGAGCCCTTTAGGATTTTGAATGAAATCACATTGTAGTTATAAATCTAATTAATGTCTTTACTATTAAGTATTTTATCCAGGAATGTGGTACGTTATTAGCTCAAATCTTCTTTTATGTTTCTTAGTAAAATTTCAAACTTTTCCTTTGTGAAGCTTCACATTTTTTCTTATATTTATTGTATATCTGTTAAATTTTTATTCTATTGTGAAATGATTTATTTCTAACATACTATAATCTGTTATTGCTGAGTTAAAGAATAATTATTGTTGTGTTTGAATGATTTTGCTTTTTTCATTTCATCTCCTAATTAGATAAATTATGTTCACATATTACATCAAATTAGTATGTCCCATATTAATAGATTTATAGTATTAAGTCATCCACTTATTCCTAAAATAAATCATAGTTGTGGTATAAAATTATATCGATACTATCAGGTTGAGTTAATAGATATTCCTTTATAATTTTTTTTTTTTTTTTTTGAGACAGAGTCTGGCTTTGTCACCCAGGCTGGAGTGCAGTGGCACAATCTCGGCTCATTGCAACCTCTGGGTCCTGAGTTCAAGTGATTCTCCTGCCTCAGCCTCTCAAGTAGCTGGGATTACAGGCACCCACTACCACACCTGGCTAATTTTTGTATTTTTAATAGAGATGGGGTTTCACCATATTGGCCAGCCTGGTCTTGAACTTCTGACCTCAGGTGATCTGACTGCCTGGGCCTCCCAGAGTGCTGGGATTACAGGTGTGAGCCACTGCGCTCAGCCAATTTTGTATTTACTCATAAGTGAAGCTGATTTGTGGTTTATTTTGGTATTGTCCTTGAAGGTTGAGGTTGAGGCAACATTTGTAAAATGTATAACATAGTGAAACCCTTTGTCTATTAAAAATACAAAAATTAGCCAGGAGTGGCAGTGCATGCCTGCAGTCCCAGCTACTTAGGAGGCTGAGACATGAGAATCACTTAGCCTGGGAGGCAGAGGTTGCATTGAGCCAAGATTGTGCCACTGCACTCTAGCCTGGGTGACAGAGCAAGACTTTGTCTCAAAATAAATACATAAATAATAAATAAAATATTTCTCTTTTATCCATGAAAATGACTAAAAATTTCTTAAACAGGCAAAAATACCAATCATTTTTTAAAAAATATTGTCTATATTTATCTATGAATAATCCAAAACATTAAAGTTTTTAAAAAATTTTCCAGTAAATTAATGGAAAACGTAGATAACTTTTAATACCATTAGAATATTATCCAAAGGCAGCCATCTTAACAGATATTCCTGTCACAAGAACCGAACAAATGAATTCCACACGCCAGGACACTTTGTCTTCTGGACAGAATAAGAAACACATTAGCAAGCTTACTTGCTTTGGATCAGCATCACTGAATGTTGCATTGCTGAAGCTGCCCCTGTTTTGTATTGTGTGTTTGTGTGTGTGTGTGTGTGTGTGTGTGTGTGTAAAACAGGGCCTTGCTTTGCCCGGGCTGGAGTGCAGGGGTGTGATTATATCTCACTGTAGCTTCAAACTCCTGGGCTCTAATAATCCTCCCACCTCAGTGAAGCTTCCTCTTTTTGAGTGACATAACCTAACTATGCATGCTAAGAAATTTTACTTTGCAACAGTTTTGATATGCTATTATAAACACAATTTATTTACTCTTAAATATCTGGTTTGAGAACCAATAGTTCCTAGGAACCATTCGTATACACCTGATCTTACCTATTATGCCCTTAATTTAAAGTCCTTCTCCAAAATGGTGGGTTGCCTTGATTTTGCCCTATCTTGTATTAATCGAAACATAGGTTGGGGATTAGTAATTCCACTTGTATTTAGTAATTACTGACTACAACAATGAAATATAACCTTGGATATACGGCAACAGTGAAATATAACCTTGCGTTAGGAAAAATAAACATGCCCCACCAACTGTCTTCTTTTTCTTTAAATGTCTGAGTGCTATCCAAACAATCTTTGTACTACAGGGAGCATCAAGAGATGTTTAACATTTAAGAGTCAATTATTGAAAAGGTAGAATGAGGCTCTTAGTCTCTTTTGTGCTACTATAATGAAATACCACAGACTGGGTAATATATAAAGAACAAAAATTTATTTTTTAAAAAAGAAAGCATGCTTACATGTGCCTTTTGTTTGTATTATTGTTTTTTATAGATTTAGGAAGTATATGTGCAGTTTTATTACATGGATATGTTGTGTAGTTGTGAAGTCTGGGCTTTTAGTGTAGCCATCACCTAAATAGTGTACGTTTTATTTAATAGGTAATTAATTTCTCACCCCTCAGCCCCCGCAACTCTCCCATCCTTCTGGTCTCCGATGTCTATTATTCCACTCCCTATGTCCATATGTACACACTATTTAGTTCCCACTTATAAGTGAGAACATGCAGTATTTGACTTTCTGCCTCTCAGTTGTTTCACTTAAATTAATGAAATTTATTTATCACAGTTCTGGAGGCCAGGAAATCCAAGATCAATATGCTTGCTATGTCCTCACACAGCAGAAGGCAGAATGGCAAGAGAGGACAAACTCCCTTCGTCAGGTTCCTTTGCAGAGGCACCTAATCCCACTAATAAGGGAGGAGCACTTATGGCCTAATCACCTTTTAAGGGCCTCACCTCTTAATTGTATCACATTAGCAACACCTGAATTTTGGAGGGGAGGCAGTCAAACCATAGCAGGCTCCATTATTTTTTTCTTAGAGTTTTCAATTGTCTGAGTCTTTTCATACTGGAAATAGCTCTGGATGTATCACAGATGCATCTTACAGAATTTGGACTCAACAATGTCATTACACCAGCTCCATAGAGATTAAATTCAAGGCAGGCTCTCCAGCAATGATGTTGTGGAATGCAGTCAGACCATCAGCGAGATTCAAGACCCACCAAAAACATCATTATCTGGGCAGGACATAGAGGTGGCTGGTGACTATTAAGGTTAAAGTGGGTCACTCAGCAGCCTGAAAAATAATTGCTTGTTAAGCATCACAAAACCTTCACTTGGAGCAGTATACTATAGCTCTAGGTGGCTGAGGAAAAAAACAGTGTCTAAAAGAACACCCTAGCAAGGACTGCGTGTCACTGCTCAGTGTGTGCGAATGTGACATGCTGAATGCAGACACAGACTACAACAAAAAGAGCCTTCTTCACAGAGAAAGAACTGAGGCTCCCCAGGCGGAAGTGCCTTCTCTGTGCATTTCAGTCAGGTTTGCCATGGTGACAATGTCCTCTTTTAAGGTGTCCAGCACAACTGAAGAAACTGAAACTAAAACAAGGATATTCATGTTCTGGATGCTGCTGTCAGTGAATTACAAAATGAGTTTCTAGAAATGAGAAGCCACCTCCTTCCTTTGGCTACCAGGCATCTCTGGTATGATTTATTTAACATGTAATGTATAAGACTTTATGCTGTTCCCAGAAGTTTCATTTACCTTAATATTCCTTTGGACTGCCTGCAGAGGTTCTTTTTAAAATGCAAATCTGACTTTTTTTAGTCTGCTGCTTAAAGCCCTTCAATGTGTCCCCATGGCTTTCAAGTGGAAATCCACATTCTTTAAGATGCAAAAAAACAAAGCCCTCATGATTTGGACCCTTCAAATTCCTTGATTGTTCCCAAACTTGTAATAGTCAATACTCCAAAAATACAGAACTCCTTGCATGCACAAAAGTAAAATGCATGTTCTCTCATGCCTTGGTGCATTTGGCATGCTTCGCCTGGCTAGCTGTCTCCTATTTATCCTTCATGACTCAGCTCATGTATCATGTCCTCATTACCACTCTCCCAGTGCCCCAGTCTGGATTACATGCTCTTCATACATTTCCCACAGAATTTATCACAGGCTACCATAATTGCTTTTTTGCATGATCTGCTTCCCTAATTTCTGGAAGGCAGAGACTGTGTCCCTTAGATCTATACCCCTAGAGAATGTTATACACATAAGATGCTCTGTAAATGTTTCCTGGATAAATACACTAATTAATTGCCATAAAAATATTGGAGGGAAAAGAGAAATGGTTGGCAGATAAGGAAATTGAGCAGAGTGATGTTGGTAGGCGACTGGCCCAACGACATCCATCACATTGACTTTTAATATTTGTCAACTGCAGAATCACAGGTGTGCATACAGTAAATGTTGGACTATTGTTGCCACTATGAGCAGTGTATACACACAGAAATGCTGCTACCCCTGCTTGTTATCTGAAAATAGGTGACCTACATTGTTTCTCTCTTGCAGAAGTTGTAAATCTTCATGAGTGCAAATATACAAGTCTAAATTGAACATGGTATTGTAGAGATTTCGTTTTCCTCCTTTGCTTCTGGGATGATTTCTCCTTCATGTTTTTAAAATCAATATTGGAGTAAAATAACACACACTTGTCCTATGGAAACAGATATAATCCCACCTCTGATTAATCGAGCTGAATCTGATAAACTGGAGACATTGCAACTTTTGTGCCTCCTTGCAGCCACCTGCTTTTCCCCATATTGAAGCTGGTGCAACTCTTGTTTCTTAGGATGGGAGGGTATACATCAGTGAAATGGAAGATTATAAGCAGTTCAGTGGCTTTTTCACTCCAAAGTCTAAATCATGCAGACTTTAAAGAGTACATGGAAAGTCAGAGTGAAATAATGACAAAAATTCTGTGGAGGCAAAAATTGTCTATGCTGCACATCTAAAAATAGGATGCTATAGGTCTATGATGTATCATTCGGAAAACTGCATGCTCAGTGGTCAGAATTTTTAAATCAAGCTTGGGGTGAGTTATTACATGCTTTCTTTGGCCCTTTATTTCAACGACATTAAAGAAATATTAACAGATGAGAGAGCACTGTGGCTACTACTCACAACGTTATTTCACATGCCTGGCATGTAAAGAAAGCCCTGACTCAGTGCAGCCAACTGGGTAACACAAGTTCAGTCTTCACTCTCCTCCCACAGAAAGAAGTCCACTGTAATCAGATGTCACAGGTAAGAGATTGAGGGAATGTATTTAAATAAAAGACGAAGAGGTTTAATTTTTACGGCTGTCCCCACAACCTCGGTTATTTTTCCTCTGATCTACCCTTATTACATAATAATTTTGAGTGCCATAAGAATATAAATACTAAAATCAAAAGATAAAATAGACAGACACAGTCTCTACATTTTAGAAGCTTAAAGTTTACAAATTTCATTAAAAGGAAGGTGAGGCTGGGCACGGTGGCTCACACCTGTAATCCAGCACTTTGGGAGGCCGAGGCAGGTGGATCACAAGGTCAGGAGTTTGAGACCAGCTTGGCCAACATGGTGAGACCCTGTCTTTACCAAAAATACAAAAATTAGCCAGGTGTGGTGGCACATGCCTGTAATCCCAGCTACTCGGGAGGCTGAGGCAGGAGAATTGCTGGAACCTGGGAAGTGGAGGTTGCAGTAAGCTGAGATCATGCCATTGCACTCCAGCTCTGGGTGACAGAGAAAGACTCTTGGAAAAAAAACCAAAAAAACAAAAGGAAGGTGATTTATTTTCTTTTTTGTTTGTTTTTTAAGACAGGGTCTTGCTCTGTCGCCGAGGCTAGAGTGCAGTGGCACGATCACAGCTCACTGCAGCCTCAACCTCCTGGGCTCAAGCAATCCTCATACCTCAGCCTCCCAAGTAGCTGGGACTATAGGCATGCACCACCATGCCCGGCTAAAGCCTTTTTATTTTTTTATAGAGATGGGGTCTCGCTGTGTTGCTGGTCTGGGACTCCTGGGCTCAAGCAGTCCTCCTGTCTTTGCCTCCCAAAGTGCTAGGATTAGAGGAGTCAGTCAGTGTGCCTGGCCCAGTAATATATTTTCCTTTGTAAAGAAAAAGATACCTGAAATCCCTCATTTAAGTTCTGAATTCAAAAATTGTGTCAGCATTATTATTTACCTATTGATGGACTGTTTGGGTGGCGGCAAACCTATCTTACACATAAATACCTTCCAGATATTCCATTGTGTTAAATGTAAAGCAAATGCAAATATCAAAAATGTTTTTTAATAAAAAGGAAGTGTGTAAATAATAATTAAATTCTGGATGAGAGTGAACTTTCTAAGTTTAAAAGCAGTGAAAGAAATCACAGATGAAAGTTATCTACATATATAAGAATATTCCATATATCCAAGAAGAATACAGCCTAATTTAAAAGGCAAATGAGCTGGAAATCAATTTACAAATATGTCTTACGAAAAGGTTAATATATCTGATAAAAGAAGACATTATAAATCAATATGAATGATAAAATATCAATTGAGAAAGACAAAGAACCTGAACATAAAGTTTACAAAGCAGGATATACAGTCCTATAAGAAAGTTTTAGAAAATTTGTCCACTACAATACTAACATGCAACTTCAAACAAGGTACCACCTTTTCCCTGACAAACTTGCAACCATAATTTTAAAAATCATAACTCTTGGTGCTCAAGAACAGTCTTTCTGGGGTTATGCAGTAAAAACACAAGTTTATAGGAATCCCCTCAAACTGACCAAAGCAAAATCTCAGTAGATAGACCCAGGAAGCAAGTTTGGGGAACTCTAATTCAATTGACTGGCAATAGGAGGCAGAAACCAGTTATCCCCCATCCCCATCCTAGTTGATCTTAAGGCAAGCTTGGAAAACATTAAACAATGGTTTTCAATCAGGCTAGACTATTGAATCATTTGGAAGATTTTGAGAAATGCTGACATTTGGGCCCTACCTCCAGAAATTCTGATTTAATCATTGTGGGTTTGGTTTGGGTATAAAAAATTTTAAAGCATCTTTAGGTGATTTTAACATGTAGCCAAAGTTGAGAACTAATGCTCTAAAGATTAGGATAAAATGGGTGTTTGCATGCTTTACAAATAGGAGTAAAAATCGGGTACACCTTTTTTGGCAAACAATTTGGTTGCTTTTTGCTTTCTGTAAAAATAATAGTTTTTACTAAAAATTTCAATTTGTAAACTCATCCTAAAAGTGTAATTTAAATATAGGAAACATTATAAGGAAAAATGTTCTTTGTGCATAATTAATTCAATAACAATATTCGAGATCAATATAACTGCTCAGTTATGGTTTAATAAATAAATTATAGTATGTTCACATAATGGAATACTATACTCACTAAAATGTGTATATAAGTTTTTAATGCCATGGACAAATGTAGTATTAAGAAGGAAAAGCAAGGTATAAAATTGTATTTACTATATAGTCATGGCTATGTTCAAATAAGTATAGTAAAAAGAAAAAAATAGTCTACATTACTAGGGTGAGTATCTTTGAGCTATGAGAGTAATACATTTGGGGGGATTATTTTCTAAGTGTTCTGTATTTTCAAAAATGTAAATATTTATCTCAAATCTAATTTAAAATATTTAGAATATTTTATTGTGGTAAAGTACATAAAACATAAAACTATTTTAACAATTTTTATATGTACAATTCAGAGGCATTAAGTAGATTCATATTTTTGTGCAACCATCACCCTATCCATTTCCAGAAACTCTTCATCATTCCAAACTCAAACTCTGTACCCATAACTACTGTTACTCCTCTCCCCAATCCCTAGTAACTATCATGCTGCTTTCTGAATTTGGCTAGTCTAGGTACCTCATTTAAAAGTGAAATCATACCATATTATTCTTTTTTATCTGGCTTATTTCATTTAGCATAATGTCTTCAAGGTTCATACATGTTGTAACATCTATAAGAATTTCAGGGCAGGGCCGGGCGTGGTGGCTCACACCTATAATCCCAGCTCTTTGGGAGGCCAAGGTAGGTGGATCACCTGAGGTCGGGAGTTCAGGACCAGCCTGACCAACATGGATAAACCCCGTCTCTACTAAAAATACAAAATTAGCTGGGCATGGTGCCTCATACCTGTAATCCCAGCTACTCAGGAAGCAGAGGCAGGAGAATTGCTTGAACCCTGGAGGCAGAGGTTGCGGTGAGCTGAGATTGCGCCATTGCACTCCAGCCTGGGCAACAGAGTAAAACTCCGTATCAAAAAAAAAAAAAAAAAAAAAAAAGAATTTTATTCCTTTTTAAGGCGGAATAATATTCCATTTATGTAAATACCACAGTTTGTTTATCACTTCATTTGTTGATGGACGTTTGGGTTGCTTCCACCTTTTGGCCATTGTGAACAATGCTGTTATGAACAGTAATATACATATCCCTGTTTAAGTACATGATTTCAATGTTGAGGGGTATATACCTAGAAGTGGAATTGCTGGATTATGTGGTAATTTTATGTTTAATTTTTTGAGGAACCACCATAATGTTTTTCACAATGGCTGTACCATTTTACATGCCCACCAGCAATGCACGAGGGTTCCAATTTCTCCACATCCTTAGCATTTTTTACTCACCAAGGTCAACCATTTTATATGGAAATCTTTCTAAAATGTTTCACTCACTTTCCAGACTTCTTAGAAGAAAACTATTGAATAAAATTTAATGGCTTTTTTCATTTAATGACTTATGCATATTGATGTCCACCTCAGGAACTATTGCAATATATCTGTATTTGAGATCTTGCTATGTGCTAGGTACTGTTTTCCAGTTGTTTCCATAGAATAGATCAATCCTTTCAAAATTCTGTAAAGTGTTATCCCCATTTAACAGATAAGTAAATGAGGTACATAGAGGATTTAAAAAAAAAAAAAAAGGCTGGGTGCGTTGGCTACGCCTGTAATCCTAGCACTTTGGGAGGCCAAGGCAGGCTGATCACCTGAGGTTAGGGTTTTGAGACAAGCCTGGCCAACATGGCAAAAGCCTGTCTCTACCAAAAATATAAAAAATTAGTCAGGTGTGGTGGTGCATGTCTGTAAGCCCAGCTCCTCAGGAGGCTGAGGCAGGAGAATCGCTTGAACCTGGGAGGCGGAGGTTGCAATGAGCCCAGATCGTGCCACTGCAGTCCAGCCTGGGCAACAGAGCGAGACACCATCTCAAAAAACAAAAACAAAAACAAAAAACATGCCCAAGATTACATGGTTGTAAGTAAAGACAACAGGATTGAAAGCCATGCCTTTATGTAGTCTACTTGCCATTTAGACTGCTTGTCTCTATATTAAATGTCTCCAAACTATTACTTAATACTCTTAGAAAGTCTGTGTATGCTGTTTAACATTCTGTTTTTTCCTTCTGTTGTTACTCTTTGTGGTTGTAAAAGCACCTACCCCCTAGCCATTTCCTCCTCTTCAGAACACATGTTGATACTGATATCCTGTCATTAAGAAAAATAGACAAAGAAGTGAGTTAAAACTGTGAAAAATCAAAGTCGTAGGTTCTGAGAAAGAATTTGGGGAGGGATAATCTAAGGGTGAAATATATGAGCTTAGGTATTTAGCTTTTACGACATTTATTTTGGTGGTTCAATAAACTATTTTGCTTATTTCTGGCTTTTTTCTTATGTTTTGGCTATGGAATCTGCTATTATGAGTGGCTTCTGAATTTGAGTTCTTACTCTTACTCCTGCTTACATTGTGTAATATAATGTAATTTATTTTTTAAAAAGCTTGCCCCAAAGCAATAAATATCCTTTCAATGTTTGATATTTCCTTTTTTAAAATATCTGCTTAATATTTTCATAATGTACAAAAAGAGAAAATCAAAAATCTTTTGGCATTGAGTATCTGGTCCTACTTCAAGGCTATTCAAACTATAAATTACAGCAACCATCCATATCAGCATTCTGTAAAAATACCTTTACAGAATGCATTATAGGCCAAGGATATATTTTCCAGAAAGAGTAGGCAGTGTTTCTGTCCTTGTGTAACATGTATGTTATAAAATACTGGGCCTTTAACTCTCATAAAATCACACCTACCTATTTCCAATGAAGTAGAAGAGGACACTAGTTAAATAAATACAGCAGTTAGTCTTTCTCAGTATCAAAAATCTTTGCTTTAAAGTGAATTACCAGTATGCTCCCTGCATACCATATGTTCATCCATTTTTCTGGAAATTAAGTTTTTCAATGTCAACATTTCTTAAAGATTTCTTTTTTCACACTTGTGAGATTCTCCTAAGAAACAGGTGAATAAAAGGAGAAAAACTGAAATTGTTCACTGAAAATTCAAAAGGAAAAGATAAATAAAAGGGATTCTGTAAAACATAAAGATTTCTCTAGCAACACAGATCCCCTTAAGTCAATTAATGAATGAATAATAAATATAATTTTTGTATGACTAAGTTTATAATTAATTTCCATCTATATGTTCTAAGTAATTTTATTAAACAAAATCAGAGTGGAGGGAAAATAAGGGAAACAATCCCAAGATTGTCTTGAACAAAACCAGAGAGCTGAACTAGCTGATGGGGGAAATACCTATTACCTTGTCAACAATTTTGTGACTAATTAGTCCTTAAACCTGAGAGAAAAGATCCCACCCAAAGATTTGATTAAATATAAAAACTCTCCTGACTCCAAGGTTTGATCATTTTAACACTGACCTGACGAAAACAGCAATACTGTTCCTAGCAATAAATATACTCAAATTCTGATAATGATTCAACTAACACTTTTAGCATCCTTCCATATTGGATCTTACAAATGTACTATAAACTAACTCTTGGTTTTTGTCACATAAAGAAGGGGCTCTCCATTTGCTTACACCTAACTTCTACTGAACACACAGTTCTGTACAACTTGATCCCTGGAGGTGGGCCTCTGTTCTCTGACCTTTTATTTTTCTAAATTTCTATTACTTTTCTCTACCATTCATCTCAGGATGACTTTATATTGCCTTAAATTTGTTGTAATTTTTTCCATGTATACATTACGTTTTATTATTCTTGAGGACTACCCACATTAACTAAGATAGACTGATTGTATGATGAGATTTAAGTAAATTCTTACTTATCAATTATTAATAAATTTCTTCAAAGAAGAAATTGCCGAGAGTGAGGTATTTTTCAATTCTAATTAAATTATGGGAAACTAGAACAATAAGCCAGTGAATTGTGGTAGAAGCCCAAGCCTGAATTTTCAGCTGTTAAACATCCCCCTCAAAATAATAATAGCTATTTTAAAAAATCAAACTTATTGCAGCTGATATACCATAAATATCAAAAAATTGAAAACTCAACCAGAAGGCATTTCATTCTATTTTATGATAGTCATGAAGCAGTGCAAAAACATTTAAGGAACACTCTGAAGATGGAATAAATGATGTTTTAAGAAACAGAAATAAGAGGATTTACCAAGCAAACAGAATGAAATTAAGAGTAGAGTTGAAAATGGCAAGACAGCTACTATTTTTCAGTTTTATTTTATTTTTAATTGACAACTGTACATATTTATGAGGTACAAAGTGATATTTTGATACACATATACATGTGGAATGATCAAATCAGAGTAATTAGCGTACCCATTATCTCAAATTTTTATCAGTTCTTTGTGGTGAGAACATTTAATAGAAAGTAAATGTATTCTATTGGAAGCTCAAGTTACTGGTTTCCAGCTGTTACAGCTGAAAGAAAGAGGGAGGAAGGCAGGGAGTAATGGGGAAAAGGAGGGAGGGGAAAGAAAACAGAAAAGGGGGAGCGGGAACATGCAATATTCTTTCAGAGTTAAGAAACTTAATCTGACAGGTTTATAGAATTTCGTTGGAACCTAGAGCAAAATCACAATGGCTGAAGCGTCAATCAGGCCTATAAAAACATCTGTGTTTAGTTTAAATGACTAAGGGTGAAATACATCAGCTTATGGAAAATGGGGAGGGCTCCCAGTATTTGGCCAGCGTTCTAGGTGATGGATGTTGATGAGCAATTCCCTTCAACAACTGATTTACTGCCAACGGACAAAATGCTGGAAGCACATCCAAAAACTTATCTGCAATTAAAATTACAAGCAAGTGGTCACTCTGTTCACCTCCTTTACCAGAGAGGTGACCCTGCTCCCGGCAACTACCTCCACCCAAGGGCCACAGAAGAACTCCTCCTTCCTCTAACCCTCTTTCCTTGGCCTCAAACCTCACGGTAAAACCTGCCTTGCTCTGTCTCCCAATCGCTTTTGTAAAGGAAGCTGGGTGTAGAGCTCTTCTTTCTCCCTCCCTTCCTTTTTTCTTTCCTTCCTTCCTTTCTTCCTTCCTTCTTCCATGCCTTTCTGTCTTTCCAAATTCATTGCTTTGTAAGAAACATTCTCAGATCACCTCCACTCCACTAGAAATCCAACGCAGGCGAGTCGGAGTCAAGCACAGGCAGTGGGCGGGTGGCCTCAGCCGGCACCATCTGGCACCTGCGATTCATCGCCACTTTCCATTCGCCCAGAGGTCAGGGGGGCAGCAGGCAAAGGACACGCAGAGCTCGTGTGTCCCAGTTCCTCTGAAACTTTCAGCTGACCGCACCCTCCCCCGACAAACTCTTTAATCATCCATCAAGCTAGAAGAGTACAGTGACCTCTGCCTGGCCTTTGGAGTTTGCAAAAGAAGCAAGCAATAAAAAGCAAGACCAGGTTCGCCCCTTTGCTTCCTCCACCTCCCAAGAGCAGCGCGCAGCGCGGCGGTGCGGCCGGAAGGGGCCGCTGTTTGCTCAGCGCAGCCACCCCGCCGCTGCAGCCGCCGCGGCCCGCACCTCCCACGGCCGGGCTGGTCCAGCCCCGCCAAGTTCCAACAGCCCCCCCTCGAGCGAGCGCCGGGAACGAGCACCACCAGGGCTGGAGCGGACGGCTTTAGAAGAGCCTAGCTGCTGCGCGCGTCGGAGAGGCTCCTGGGAAACTCCCACGGCCCAGGGACTTTCGAAAGCAGAGCGAGGAGCCCTCGCACGCGCTAGTCTGCGAGTGAGCGCTCAGCCCGGCACCTGTTCCTCCAGCGCCGCCGCCTTCCCACCCCTCGGACCCGCGCCGCTCGCGGCGCCCGCCCGTTCCTGCGATGAATCCGGCCCTAGGCAACCAGACGGACGTGGCGGGCCTGTTCCTGGCCAACAGCAGCGAGGCGCTGGAGCGAGCCGTGCGCTGCTGCACCCAGGCGTCCGTGGTGACCGACGACGGCTTCGCGGAGGGAGGCCCGGACGAGCGTAGCCTGTACATAATGCGCGTGGTGCAGATCGCGGTCATGTGCGTGCTCTCACTCACCGTGGTCTTCGGCATCTTCTTCCTCGGCTGCAATCTGCTCATCAAGTCCGAGGGCATGATCAACTTCCTCGTGAAGGACCGGAGGCCGTCTAAGGAGGTGGAGGCGGTGGTCGTGGGGCCCTACTGACCCGCCCTCTGCCCCCGCGGCAACCGCTCCCACGCCTGCCCACTTTGCTAGCCCGGCTGTGCCCCTCACTATCAGAGACTGGGCGAAGCAAACCTGTCGGAGTCAATTATTTCTCTCGACTTCGGCCTTTCGGAAAGAAGCGACCGGTTTCTCCCTCGCCCTCTGAAAGTCCTCATGCCTGGCAGTCGGAGGAGAGCGCCCAGACTCTGAACTCAGCAGAAAGTGGCAAGAAGAGGGCGATTAGGGCGCAGAACTTTGGAAGCTGCTACTTACTTGGAATGCGGGGAGACCGACGGTGCGAAGGCCCTTCTCCACCCGCAGGTGGGCCAAGCTCTGGGGGCAGGTGGAGAGGGCGGGCAGGGGAGAGACCCAGCGGCACTGATCGCCTTGTGACCGGAAGAGTGACCTGTTAAAAGCCACGCAGCAGACTCATGGGGTCTCACAAATCCGTGTCCGGGTGCGCTCCCACTCTTCTCCTGCTCCCCCCCTGCCCTGGAGGGGAGGGGCGATAAATACCTTTGATTGTAACGTGCCGTTTTAAGAGGTTTTGTGTTTGTTTGCTTGAATACAAATGTTTGATAAGTCTTTTTCTGCCCCAGTGGCCTGTTTGCCTGCCTGAGGAGTTACAGTTTTGTCATTGTGGGAGAAGGGGTGGGGGGAGGGGGAGCCTGCGAATTTGAACGGGGTGAGTTGTTTCTTTTAGTGCATTTCCCACTGGGTCTTTTGGGAGGCGTCTAGCGTTCCTGCTGGCCCTGGGACAAAGACCCAGAATAGAACTCGTAGCTCGTGACTGCACGGTTTACGCCACAAAAGTGCTCTTGACATCCGTGACACCGTTTTGACTTTTTGTTTTTTTCTTATTTAACATTTCCTTAATAAATGCAACATTTAAGCGTTTTGTTCCTGGCCTCCTGGTGGTCATTCTGCGCTCCCCAGCAGGGGGGAACGGGGCGGCGGTGAGGAGTCTGGCTCCCGGCCAGGGCAATTAACCCTGGAGAGCTGCGATTCAACTTGTGGATCCCCTGGAGGGGCGAGGGTGGGGCCAGACGGAGAGGCCCTGGGATGACTGAGAAGGAGCCCAGCCTCAGGCACAGTAGCCGTCCTGGAGGCAGCATCCTTTGTTTCCTCTTATCGTGAATATTTTATATTTCATTTAGTCTCAGCTCTCAGGTAGGCGAGACGACAGAAGGGCCCCCGCGGGAAGATTACACTTCCGTGCCAGGCTCCGGCGGGAACACAGGATTACACCGCTAATGAAAGGAAGAGACGGCTTGGACAGCCTTTAGGGAGGGCGTCTCTACCCTAACCAACGTCAGCCAGGCGGCTTTGGGATGCTGCCCACGGGTGGGGCCGGGGGGCGGAGGGAAGGGGAATTATAAAATGCGAGGAAAAGTAGCTGCTAAGGTACACAGTGACGTTAGTGACGTTAATGCTCCCTAGGGTAAACCATTGTTACTAAAACATGAGATGCATTACTGTCGTTGTGATATTACTTTTTCTAGCAAAAAGACCACGTTAAAAGATTCAGCCTGTTCTTTGTAATTTAGTATGCCCCAGACCAGGCAAAGGGTTGAGAGGAGTTAGCCGAGGTCCTGAATGTGGGAGATGAGTATTACAACCCCAACTGGGAAGGATATTTGGAGTAGAACTACAGATGGCCGTTGACACATTTAAGGTTCAGAAATTCAACAGTGTTAGAAAGAAACGCCTAAAAACCGTGCCTGTGAAAATAACCCAAAGGATACAATAGCTTCGAGCATAAACTTGACAAAAGGTTTTGAGCAGTTTATTTTTATGCCTGAGACAGGATCCTAAATATTTTCAAGACTATAAAGAATCCACTAGGATGCTATATAGCAATTAAAATTTCAAAGACTTCACAATGGCAGCTATAAGAGTAACTAAAATCAAATAATAATAAAGTGTTCCATTTACTCAGAAAGAAGCACAACTGGTGTAAACAATGTTAACGACTCAAAGATTGGGATCAAAAGTTTTGAGTGCCTTTAATGTCATATCCACTATTAAGTGTCCATTTCGCTCTCAAGTAAACCTTGTTAGAAATCACAACCTAGGATGGTTTTTTGAATTCTAATGGATATCAGGATTGAGAAAAGAGGATTTTGAAGTTTTGCTTGTTGTTCCTGTCTTTTAAACAGGTAAGGGTTTGTTTGCTTGTTTGTTGTTTTGGTATCTGGGCAGGGGGCAGGGTCAAGAGATAGTCAATAGGTAGTCAGTAGGAGTCTTGGAAAGCAATCTACTTTTGCTAACCGACAGGACAAGAAATGGCAATGTTCTATTTTATAGACAGTTTCTGTGGCACCGAGTTAATCTGCTGCCTGCATGTTTCAAAGGGAGACACAAAGCAGAGCAATGGATTCTCTGGGACAAACCAGACACTTAAAATTTAACTCACGCTGTGGCTGCAACATCCTCTGAGGGTCCCTTCTTCTGGAAGATTTATTAGCTCACCTGTGAATCCAGTACTCTGGTAGAATTCGATTTGGGATAAAAAAACAAATCAGCTAGAGTGTAGAAATCTTGCATTTTACTCTGCTGTGTACGGGCACATGCTTAGAGTTTCAGACACGCGGAGGCTGAAGGAGGGGTCAAACCTACAGGTCAATTTTAAATTGTATAGAACACAGGTTTTCATTTAAAACAAAAGTCCTGAAAGTCCTGAAAGTTGAGAGAGGAGCCAAGGTTGAAGACCTCTATCTTCTCTATCTTGTTCCTCTTAGTATTTCTTCACATCTCTTTCCTCTTCCCTGCATCTCAAAAGCAAAATGCAGTTTCTCTTTATCTCAACTATCCACATTTATTCTCTCACCCCCAGAAATTGTGCATGAAACAAGCCAAAACCTGCAAAATGTAGTCCTTAGATACAAAAGGTATGTGAACACAGCTTTGTAATCTATGATCTATGCACTACAGGGAAATGCACAGTCTGCAATGCACATAGCCCTGGAGACTACTTCCTGCCAACAACACTTCTCTCCAGCCCTTAGATCCATTTGTTACTTAGAGAGATGCCAAGTAGTTCTGGTTTTTATAGATGAGGCAATGTGTGCAAGAAGCTTTTTACACTCTCTATTCCCCGATGGCCACAGAGCAACCACTTTCTGGGGCCACACCACTCCCTCTTTCACTCTGCCTTTGACTCTCTTTGTCCCTCATTCTAACAACTGCTTTAAATGAAACATTTTAATCCTGCTCAGAATTTATGGAGTGTCGGTCCTTTCCCAGAGACATTCTCTAAGAAAAAAAGGTTTTGAAAGCCATTGTCTGTGTTTCACCTAAGAAAACAATGTCAGCCTTAAGAGACCAGAAGTTTAGATACATAAATTTAACAGGCAGGTTCTACCATGCCACACTGAAGTCCACCATTTGGTCAGTAATTAGTGGGAGTCCCTGAGAGACAGAGACAGATTCCTCTAAAAGCTTGCTTGATCTGACATGGCCCAGGGGGACTTATCTGATATTTCCTGAAGCCCTTCTGGAAATACAGCAAATGCAGGGAGAAGTTTTCATGAAACACAGCTGGTGGATTAGTGGGATCTCAGGCTGGGCAGACAGCTAGTGATACCTCTTAGCTTAATTGGGTGGCCTCTGTATAAGTAGCTTAACCAATTGTTGATAAGTGTTCTTAAGATTGTTGATACGAATCTCCCCACTCTCTCTGAAAATGTAGCAAGAGCTTGAGTGCTGGACAGCTTTAAGGAAGTGAAAGCAGAGGTCACACTACTCTGTCAAGTCTGAGATCACACTAGTTCCTGGTAGATGGTCCATGATTTCTGATTTCCAAGCCATCCTGGCTTCTCACTGGATGCAAGTCAATCCTGCTACTGTGTCTTCCTATACTAACTCTGAATTAGGAAGGGAAAGACACACTGGGCTGAGATTTTAGAAATTTTGGTTCTGGTCACTAAGCAGCTGAATGGCCTGATCCCTAAAATAAGGAAGAGGGGTTCTAAAGAACCTTCCAATTCTATGATTCCATTGAATTAATTGGTTTAACGTGTTCTCTCTTAAGATGTTTCATAAATCTCTTAATTATGTGTCTTAAAAATATATTTTATCTTTCCAGTCTTGATCTTTTGTGTAGATGTTTTTCTCACAAAAGACAAGTGCTCCTCTACTGGAAATAAGTTATTTACAATAATCAAAGCAAAATTTCAGACACCTAGCCAGGCCAGAGTAGATGACAGTTTTTAACCTGATCGATTACGCATGATCTCACCAGCACCTTAAATTTCCAGGTCTCTGCGTTCTCAAAGGACAAAGCCATGAAAGTAAAGCCCATTGTACTGGGGAGTAAGCAATTCTTCTAGGTACGCATTCAGACTAATATGCACTGTTGTTTATAGAAACTACTAGGGTGTTTGAAGACTCTTTAACATCCACTTTTTCTCCCTAAAGCATTTTTCCTTTTGAGTTTCTGCAACAGCACACAGCACCTGTTCCACATGCAGTTTAGAGCCTTCCTTAACCCTGGCTTATTTTACTTCTCACTTTGGGGGTTACAATGACAGGAAAGATTCCAGGGTTCGGTTTGTTCTGTAAGACTCAAACCTAATTTGAAAGCCTGTGGAAGCAGCAAGTCTGCAGCAATCCTCCAAACAGGAATCAACAAATATTTTTTCTACCTGTCAAATCCCATGTAGACCTATGCACAATAGCTCAAATGGGATATGTTTTAAAAGCAGCTGCCTCAGTAGTAATTGTTTCCTAATGTCTGAATTTAAATGCTCAATAGTAAGTTGTTTCCATGGCCAATCTCACTTTGTTCTCATTTCCTGATATTTTTGTGTTGTTTTAAATGTTTAAAAGACTTGAAAGTCCAGGATTAACTTTCAGAAAAATTAATTATATAATATTATTATCAGTCATGTATCATTTATGGTGATCATAGTAACATACTTTGAATTTATATGTATACATCTTATTTTTTGATTATTATTATATTTGAGAAGCTTAAAATACTCCAGACAGAGCTCCTCTAAGGACTGTTGTAAGGATAACTACATGTATTTTTCCTTTTTTTTGTTATTATACTTTTAAGTTTTGGGGTACATGTGCAGAACATGTAGGTTTATTACATAGGTATACACGTACTGCCATGGTGGTTTGCTGCACCCATCGGTCCGTCATCTACATTAGGTATTTCTCCTAATGCTATCCCTCCCCTAGCCCCCCACCCGCCGACAAGCCCTGGTGTGTGATGTTCCCCTCCCTATGTCCATATATTCTCATTGTTCAACTCCCACTTATGAGTGAGAACATGTGCTATTTGGTTTTCTGTTCCTGTGTTAGTTTGCTGAGAATGATGGTTTCCAGCTTCATCCATGTTCCTGCATGTATTTTTAAATATTCCTCAGTCACATTGCAAACAGTGGCTTGCATCTAACCTAAATAACAATATACACTAAATGAGAATAAACAAAGCTTATTTTCATTTGTTTAACTATTTATGTATATTTTGAAGGGATAATGGATAGTTTTATTTTCTAAATATATTTAAGGGCATGCTTGCTGAAGTATTCTTGAGTGGGTAAATGCAGGTATAGAATGATCAATACTAAAAAGGTCAAGTGATCTGCAATAATGCTGGAAGAAATCCTGCCCTGCCTAATCCCATTTTAAAACTGGTTTCCATTAGATAGTAATATTTTATGACCTCATAATTCAAAGAGTTATATAGTGTTTCTCAAGCACTCATGTATAGATGGTACATTACTACTTATTACTGGAAAAAATGACATGATTCCTTTCCATTTGAACCACAAAACACTGGCACAGACAAACACATGTAAGGGAAGGTATATACTCTACCCACAAGAGTAAGATAAGAAATTGTTCCTATTATTTCTAGAATTCATAGTAATATAAATATACACACATAATTATGCCATAGCCTACATGTTGGTATTTTTTATTACAGAGAGAGAAGGTTATAGTTTTTTTAGTTTTTTAAATATTTGCTTTGTACCCTCACCAATTCCTCTTTCATTATGCACTCCTTCCCACACCCACATCTAAAGATATACTGCCCTGAAAGAGTCATTGATTTTTATCAGACCAAGACTCCAGATGTCTGATTGCTTTGGAAAAAGAATCCCTCTGGGATCCAGAGTGTCTCTTTTGCTTTATTTATTTTCCTATAAATTGAGCAGGATCATGTAGTTCATATTCTACGTAGTATTGATTAAGGCAGATGCATGCGCACATATTCTCATACTCAGTGTTTCCTTTACTGTATACTCATGAAACATGTTTATTCTACTACAGACTAGAAATGAGCATTGCCCATTCCACATTCCCCAATTCTTTGTTTTACATTATTTATTTGTTTACAATAAAACAATGCATAGGAAATGTTGCAAGTAAATTGTCTCAAAATGTCCAGTAAATAAGATTTATTTGAAGTGTCTGGAGTCTTACAATACATCTGTATCTTGAGATATATGCTTTAATCTTAATCTAAGAATCATAAAGGAAAGAAGCTGAAACCCTAAGAGACAGAAAAGTCAAAGATTATGTATTGCATAGGCTTGAAAATCTTTAAAAGCTAAGTTAAGAGAAATGAGCTGGGACCCTAAATTTGAAGAAGGTCAATGAAAACGAAAAGAACCTATCAAGTAAAATCTCTAGAAATTTACAGGCAGATTCTAAATTCTCAAAATGGTGGCTAGAAACGTTTACATTTAGAGGGCTTAATAAAAGGATCAAAGACTGCTGAGAGGGAGGACTAAACATTGTGAGAATGTGGAAGGTTGTAAATTCCTTCTCTATTTCTCTTCTCTGTGGAGTCTTGGAATGATTGCAAACATCCTGTCCGCTGGCTGAGTTTTCTTATATCCAAAGGAGAAAGAGGCCTTGCCAGGCCTTCTTATCTTTATCATCAATAAATATTTATTATTTAGTATCTATTATAGTCATGACTCTGCACTAGGTACTAACTTAGACCTTGGAAGTTTGGTGCAAAGAATCATGGAATTTAAAGGGGCCTTCTGTGCTAATATCCTATCTTCTGCTAATCTGTTTGCACATGTCCTTCGGGATCTATCTGCGTGAGCCACACACTCTCCTGGTTTCTCCCCTTGAAAATGAAGTACTCTCCACCCTTCTCTATAATTAGCATGGGGCCTGAAATACTCAAACAATTTAATTTGACTTTTCCCCATGTCTTCAGGTAGCATACGCAAAGCTGGCTCCACTTTACATATTCAAACTCAAGATGAACATGAATATGGAAGGCCTGAAGAAAGTGCTCCAAATGAATATCTCGAGGCTACTTATAATTTTCTACAAATTCAGCTCAGGAACAAGTGTTTTATTCATTTCCCCCACTGTGAATTTTCAAGGACTGAATAATTAAGAAGATCAAGAGTAAAATTTCCTCCCCTACATTCCATAGATGAGCTTTCTAAGGAAATGATACATTCTTCTTTTAAGTAACATTAATGTCTCCTAATATCATCAAAGTTCAAGCTAGAATGGACTTTATTAATTAAGAATCTTTGGGTTACAATCAACAAAAATCTAGCTTAAGCTAATTTTAAATTAAAAACAATTTATTGATTCATGTAACTTGTAAGTTCCAGGATACAGGTGCATCACGCATGAAAGAAGCTGATATCTAGTGTCACTCAGACTTTCTCCATCTCTCAGAAAATCTCTCTCCACATGGTAAGAAAAGAAAAATACATGGATGCCCCTGGGCCCACACTCATATCTCATCAACTTAATAACCCCAGCAGAAAGAGATTTTTTTCCTGGGAGAACTCTGGCCCAGTTGGCATCTTGTGTCAATTGCTGAACAAACCGCTGTGACTGGGTGGCTGCAGGAAGAAGGGTGTACTCAGTCAATGACCAGTGACACCCTTCTGGTGAGAGGAGAGAGAACATGGGGGAGGAGAGTTGGTTCTATTCAAACCAATCTTCTGTAGCTCCTGTGAGGATACAAGGCCATGCATCCTCATAGGAGAAGGAATTCTAGTATCAAAAAAAGCAAGAGGGCTGCTGGAGGACCTATAACAATGGTCACCTAGCTCAATGGATCCAAAGCCTAGAGACAGTATGTTATTTCCTACGGTTCCACACAGCTAGTCAATGGTGGAGCTGGTTAAGGGGATCTATGTCTTCTGACTCTTAATATTTCTTTTAAAGCTATTTATTCTATCAACTATTTCAGCAAGGATGAGAAAAGAAAAAAGACTTTTATAATTTTTTTCAAGGTTCTCTGTGTTGAGTTGATGTAGCTCCAAGTGCCCTGGACAATAGCTCTGAATTTCTGGGGCAGGTATTGCCACCACCTTGCACCTGGGCATTTGGATCAGTCATTTGACATCTCTCTTTGCTCATGAGAATAAAATCATCTGCCTTCCCTGGACCTAGCTAAGTTTAAATATTGATTTTATATGAAATGGTAAATTTTATGTTAAAAAGTTAAGCTCTGTGACTCTCCATGAGATGGATAAAATACTCAGCATTACCCAAACTGATTTAACAAACTTATTTTGATGGAGCCTCTCTCATGACCCATCTTGCTTGGAAATGCTGCCCGGTAAGCACATGAAATACTTTATTTACTTTTCTTGGAAACATTCCTAATTCTGTTTTTAAATTGCTCCTCATATCCTAACCCAGAGAGTTGGCTTAGCTTTCTCATGCGCATGGAAATTGAACCGTCATTGTTCATTTCTTTGGGTTTGCAGCTGCTTTGCCTGTTCCACACTTCTGATGAGGAAAATTACCTTCCTAACTGTGACTGTCTGCTTTGCAAGTATCATCTCCCGCTCTGAGACTTGCATTAGTGGACTTCTTGATTCTTATTAACAGGTGAGGGGATGGGGTTGCTGATAGTGTGGTTGGAAGAGAAAATTTCTCAACCATAAAGACTGGTGTGTAGGAGTTTGTTTCTCATGCAGCTCATCACCACAGGCAAACTCATCTCCTCTACAAATTTCCAGCTGTGAGACCTGAATCTGAGGCTGGAGGCACAGTGTTCTCAGTAAAGCATCTCTGTGTTTGCAACATACTTAATGGCCTCTAAGGCACACTTGTACACATATAAAAGAGCACTCTCATTTTTAGACAATATATCCTCTTTTTCTTGGCATGATGGTCCTCCTATATTTGGACAGTTTCTTTTTCAGGAATAACTTTACGAAAACAAATAACTTCCAATGGTTAATAATATAAGCCATTCTCCTCTAGACATGATTTACTTTGTGAATAATTCTTGATTGCTTTATACCCAATAGCTAATTATCCAGTTATTACTCAGCGATAGTTTTTCCATACCACTAATTTCCTCAGTCAGTGTTTGGTAGTCTCAAGATTGGACCACTGTGGCAAAATTCTTTTCACAGTGATTTATAACATTGTGTTCTTACTACGACCCAGTACACCGTGTGCTACCCTAGTGTATTTGAGGAGAGGTCTCCAAGCCTACTTGGATTTTCTTTTTAAAAAGTAAATATTTAAGATTTTTGATATTTTCTCAATGAATAATGATTTATTTCAAAATGTTCTTTAAAATTCTCTAATATTTAGAATGTTTATAAGTAGAAAATTTTAGAGATGCCAAAGCAAAAACTCTGGTAAATATCAGATGTATTATTTAAACAATAACAATACATAAAGAACCAAATTATAATACTGAAAACTTGAAAATTGAAAAGTATTCTCCATTTCAAAGGAGAATGTGATGAAAGATTCGTTTACATTTTCTGTAAACATTTACTTCCAAATTAAAGTAAATTCGTATCTGTATGTTATATGAGATGGTGTGCCTCAGTAGTGGTGTATAGAGACTAAATTTGACTGAATTCTTTGCATTTGGTCAATGTACTTTAATTCTCCAAAATCATACTTCCATTCTACAACGCAAACAAAGACTTCACGGACTATTGAGATAAAGAGCCATTCAAAGGATGAACCTTGGCAATTTAATGTTGAGTTCCATTTCATGCTTAATGTGCTGTGTAGAGAAAGAAAGAAAATGTAACAGTGTTCCATGATTCAATGATTTTTGAGATAAGAATATTTTCAATTTATGATTCCATGGTTCAGAAAGAGTGCGTAGACGCTGAAAGAGTGCAGTGAGACACATTTTATGACCACCAAGAGCATTGTCTTCTTAGAGTCTAGGTTACCTGGCATGTAACAGTCACTTAATAAAGATTGAGTGAAGTTACAGAGTTTTAATACTCCTGCGTTTCATTGAAATTATATGCTGGAATATTAGACTATTCTATAAACTCTTCTGACTTTCTTCTATCCTGTTTTCAATTAATAAATGAAAAGTTTGTATGTTAAGATCTTACTCCCACACTGATTCCAAAGCATGAAATCACCATATGATATGGTCTTATTTTCTAATTCTCCTCTCACTGTTTTCTTCTAATCGGATTGTATTGTTGACATGGATAATTTTCAAATTCTGTTCATGGAAACTTGGTCAGCATCAAATAAATTCTTGTTGATACTTATCATCATCCATTTAGATAAGTGTTTGACTGCAGTTACTGCTAGTATTAATCATATTTGGTATTTTATGGATGTTAGTTCAAAGTTTTCAGAGTGATGTAATTCTAGAAGTTACATCATCGCATTCCCATGAAAAAGAAAATGGAGGGAATGAGGGGCTAGTAATTTTTCCAAGGTCATACAGGTAAAATGTTCTTATGCTAATCTAGATTAAAGATGTAAATCTAGATCTGAGAATATTACAAACAGCATTTTCCTCTCTGCCATTCTGCTAATTCTTTTGGTGAAGGATGGACAGTAAGGACAGTTTCAACTTTCTCACACACATGGTGCTTTGTCATTAACAACTTGGATCCACCCGTACAGCTTTGGGTAATGATTTCACATAGGGGATACGCAGAAAAATTGATCATTTTGGTAGATCTAGAGTCTGCTAGTAGCAAATGGCTCTAAGAGGTGGGGATGTAGATTTTAGGAGGAAATTCAAAATGAGCCTCAACTTGTCCAATTATATAGCCCCTTACTTGGAAATGTATACAGGTTAAAACATATATATTTTCTCTTTGGACTCTAATTATAAAGGTCTCTAATGTTCACATATATCATGTTGCTTAAATCATTTTCATTAAACTCCACCAATAGTATAATTTTGACTAAAATGTTTTATTCGAATATGTTGGAGCTTATTTCATGATATCAATGAACATGCCTCATAGTTAAAAGACTTTTTTGTGGACTACCTGTGCTTGCAAAGTTATATTTTTTTATTGAGCACTTATTATAAATTTCCCCTATTCTGAGCACTTTCCATGTGCTGGATCACACACATGGGAATGAGGTAGTCTCCATTCCCATTGCTGAGGAAATTGGAGTGCAGAGGGATAATATGTTTATTGACCACATTTAGATACAAAAAGACTCTGGGAGACCTGAGTATTGGTCTGATTTTAATATGCTAAAACTTAACCCAGAAAAATACAAGGTCCTGTATTTGAGTCTAAAACAACTGCCCAAGTACAGAATGAGAAAAATGTGTCTTATCAACAGACTACAAATATAAAAGATGCAGAAGTTTTGCTGAAGAAGAAGCTCTAGAAAAGTCAATGGAATTTTGAGGATGCCAAAAATAGTGAACTTAATCTGCACCAAGGGAGGCACTGAACCTCATTAGAGGAAAGCAAGGATCCAGCTCCCCTCTGTTTTTGGATTATTACAATCTTAGAATGGGTTCTGGGCCTAATACTGCATTTTTACAAACTTGTAAACAAACTCAGATATATTAAAAAAAAAACAACTAGAAAGCAAGGATTCCAACACTATGTTAGATTAAAAATGATCAAAAGAGTTGGCAGTATTTACCACTGAGGAAAACAATAAATAAGGCCTCAGGGATAATATGATAGCTGTCCACCAATATCTGAGGAACTGACACAGTCAGGGGGGATTACATTTATTTAGTACAACCCGAAGTAGTAAAACTGGCAAGAGTGAGTAGAAGCAGCTATAAACAGAGGATTCAAGTCTTAACAAGCAAGATCTTTCTAATGGTTGGAGCTTTACAAATATGAAATGAAGTGCTTTGAGAGAGAATAAATTCTCTGATACTGGATGACCATGCAGAAGAGATATTGCAACAGAGATACAAAAATTAGATGGATGGTTAGACTGGATCTTTGAGTTTCAATCCTGTGATTTTTGTTTTAATTCTAGGCTCTTCCTTTTGAACAAGAAAGAACGGGCACCGGGCAGGTGGCTATGCTGTCTGATCTAAACAAGCAGCAGCCTGCTCAGGGTCTTTGGAGAAAGCCCACCCTGAGTTAGGAGATTTTGGCCGTTACTGAAGTAGCAAGACCTGTAGACTTTCTCACTCACATGTGACTTTTTCTTACATCTTCCTTATTGTGCAAAAATCATCTTTTGTTTCACCTTTGCCATATATATCATAAATTTCTGATCTCACTTTGAAACAGGCCATTCCTAATTGATTTGTCCAGAAGTTACACTCAAAATGGCTTTGCGATTATTTAACTGAAGCAGGTGCAGACATAGCCTCTCAGCTTTCTATAAATTCAAAGACTAGTCCTTACATTAAGCTCCCTACCTCTAAAGGAAAATTAAACTGGCTCAGAGGCACCTATTTATCCAAAACAAAAGGATCCTTGAGGTACAGACTCATGGATTTAACAGGATTTTGTTTCCTTACTATATGAGTAAAAGGTGATAATGGATAAATCATTCTTTCTAATCTGGCACAAGATGTAGTCCCAGCCACACTAGATAATCAAATGAAAGAAACATTTTATTGTTATTTGGGAAGAAAACTTAATACCTTTATATCACAAGGCTTGAGAACAAACACAGAATCCAAGTCTGTAATTTTAGCATTCTATTTCAGAATCTGCACAGAACTGCAAAGAACACAGACCATGCTCTGAAGGATATGAGGTTCTTGCTACTGTGCTCTTGAAACTCCAAAATCTCTTTCAACAATACTGTAGTTGCATACTGTGTCATACCTCCAAAGAAAAATAGTTAGAAAAAAATTTCCAACAAGAGTAATGTTTCAGGCTAGACTCCTCTCCAGGTGGTAGAGGCATTCTTAGTAGACACAGACATGTGGAGACATGAAGATCACCTTTCTGAATGCTGATTGATCCTGTTCATCAAATTGGAAACAGAGGAGGTAATAGACTTCACCACTGTGGAGGAGACCACTTATTAATTTTGAATCAAAATCAGTACTGTTAGAATTCATACTACTGTGTTGCCTATGTCTAATCCCTGGCATAAGAACTTTAGATATGCATCTTCCAGTATGTAACTATCTACTTCTTGTATAGTTTATATTATTCTTCGTACATCACCTGCTTTTTATTATTTTTTATTTCAATAAAGAAAATGTTACACTTGCATTGGTTAAATATCTTAATGATATATTTTATATTTCATAATACAACAAGACCATGGAATCCTAAGACCCGAGTTGTCTGTTTCTAGGTGATATCACCCTTAAACATAACTTATTATCAAAAATGTTCTGACCTAATTTTACAACATGGTGTGACCTTACAGTCCTGTATTCCAAAGTCACTGCAATCAGCATTGTCATCTTGATATCTTGCTTAAATACTGCTCGCTATAATATAATTTTATGTCCTGTCCTCAGAGTGGCCTTTATTTTGAAATTTTGCCAAGAACAACATTGTGAGTGCTAGAGTTTGATTAAACATAGCCCGGAAGAATATCTTTCAAAGGATACATCTCACCCAGTTTCCATTTATAAAACACAAAGTAGCATATGCTTTGCAATGACAATAAATCATCTTCAAACTTAGACTTAAAAATAACAGACGATGTGGTCTTAAACTCTGATCAGAGAGAGAAATGCTTCCTAGAAGGAATCTTGTAGTTTATCCATGTCATACATCCCCTGGGCACCTGGAGGCACAGTGATGGGGTGGGAGAGGATCCCAAACATATGGCTAACATACAAAACGGGTGCTCAGGACTTTCTCAGCTCTGCTGTATCTTCAGCCCTGAGACCTCAACCTAAAGGCTCATTTTTGTCCAGTTTCTGAGTCAATTTTGACTAAAGTAGAGCACATAACAGTAGCTTCCAGGTGACCAGCTAATGGGATCTGATTGATCTTCAGGTACCTGGTGTGCTTAAGGGATGCCTGGACAATCTTTTGTCCAGAGAACCACAGCTTTTCCACCTGAAGTCCACTTGTTTGTCTAGTCTACTCATATGTCCTGGCTTCTGCTGCACACTGGGCTACCTCTGATACTGCTGAAACTTTCCTCTTCCAGGGAACTGGAATTTCATTTGGATATACACCTAACTGTTGCTTGGGAGAGTCTAGAATTGTGATACCATCACCTCCCCTCATAAAATACCACTTTGGAACAACTACTGTTTTGTCTCAACTATTACAGCGCATGCTCTTGGGTATTTAGAACAGCCAGAATCAAGTTCAAGTTAATCATACCTCTATGGATCCAGAGATAAGGATGGTCACTGACTCCCCTCATCTGTAGCCATGATTACAGTTGAGTTAACTTCTCAACACTGTTCATGTTCTCCGTTCCTTTTCCATTCCTCTAATCTGCTAGAAGATCCTAGCATGCTTTTGAGCCTAGGTTTCATATGCTACATCATGCTGACTACTATGAATGGAAAGCAAAAGATAGATGGAGTTGGAGGAGGGATTGAGGGGTTCTGCAGGCTCACTTAGTGACTTTGTTTGGCTATAGGCGCAAGGCAGGGAGATACATCTATTTAGTCAACTATATATTTCTGCTTCTCCCTGTATTTACAAATCTAATTAGATCCTAGGCAACGAACAAAGTGTTCAGAGAGAGGCTACATGTTCGATTAGAGACTGAAGAGGTGACTTAAGTGCTATTTTTGTCCTGAATTTGAGAAAAACACTGAATATGGCCGCTCCCTAATACACACTTGGATTTGGGGTGGGTCGGCTAATGGAAGTTCTTAAAAACATTACTAAGATATCATCATATTTTTCTTCACTATGCAATTCTCCCACAACACCGCAGGGCAAGGTTGAATTACTTTTTAAATTATTTATCATTCTGTACTCTCTGGTTCACTCATCTTTCCCTTTACCTGGATTGAATAAAGAGTTGATTTTATGTGGAAGAAATTCCTAGAAGTGAAGAGGGTGAGGCTATAAATTACATTTTTAGAGAAATGTCTTTCCTCGGGATAAGAGTAAAAAGATAATCTTCAGTATACAAATGTTTCATTAAATCTTATGTGAGACAGGGTAGTGAATCCTAAGATCTCTGCAAAATCTTTCCAGAATCTATGAAAAGATACAGCTACTGTTTATATGCCAGTGATTAGAAGTTATGGTTTCATGCAACAGTATTCTGGCTTAGCCTATTTATGAGCCAGGACCAAAGGAGATTCTCCATCGCTTTCATATTTATAGACAAACCTTCATATTTTCTTATTGCAAGACAAGTCTTTTGAACAGTGACAAAGTTTCAATTCCTTTGGGAGTGGAGGCTGCATAGTATGGCTCGGCAAGTCTAATTTAGATTTCATTTCCTTTGATTCTAAACAACAGGGAAGGTGAGTGTGAAATGACTTTGGTTCCTGACACCAGTTGCATAGATTTATTTCAGTGATTGATTAAAAGATCACATGGTTTTGCTAAGCATTGCAAGGCTGCATCAATCTTCAAGAGAGATGAAACTGCCATTGATTTTGCCTTGCTGTCCTAGAAAGAAAATTCTGAAAGACTCCATCCAGCTATTAACAGGCATAAGCAGAGCTAATAGTTGCTACAATTGCCAAGAAATTAGAGTATGAAAAGAAGAGGTCCATTGGACAATATTCTTTTTATTTAAAAAATGCCTTCATCTATTTTACTTGATCAAATAATTTTAAATTTAAATGCAGAAAATATGAATGATTACTGTAGTTAATAACAAAAAGATATATTAGAAATATGTAAATTTCAAGAAATAATTTAAGATTTTTTTACCTACTATTTATATGTACGGAGGGAAATATCAATTTTTATTTTGTTATTTTGAATTACAGAAGTGCATGCTGCTGTTAAAAATAAAGTTCACTGTAACATACAAGCTTCTAGGAAAAAAAAAAGTGAAAATCTCTATCTATTCCATAAAAGCTCCCTATGGGATGCGCAACAGTAAAATTTGGGATTTTAAGAAAGTGAAAGGAGAAAAAGATCCAGGTGGCAGCAGATACAAATTTTACTCTACAAACTCAAATATACAAATACTGTAATTTTATTTTTCCATAACTTATAGAAAGAGCTCTCATAATATCAGAGCAGTTCTTCCCCTCCATCTCACCCACCTTCTTCCTCAGAGTTAAGTCTATAGTTAGGAGCTCACAAAATGCGAAGGCTTAGGGAGGAGCACACATGGCATCTTATTCTCGTTCTTATCTTTCCATTGTGGCAGCTACTGAGGTGATTCTTGTCTAATTGTTCTGGGTTGTGGATTTGCAGAAGTCCCTTCCCTGTGGAGCCTTGGCAGGTCAGATGACTCCCAGTATTAAGTTCATGTCATTCTTGGACAGAGGAGATGTATTATGATCTTCCCTTGGGAGTACAGGAATCCTTATACCACTCCGGCACGATCCTGGGTGTCCTGACTTTTGAAATTAACCCAGACTCATCTGCCTAGACATGACATACAACTATTTCTTATCCGGAGAGGGGCCCCAGTCCTCACATCTTTTAAATATTCAAACTCATCTTTAGTCTGTCATTACCCTACCCTGGGCTTAATCTGGCTTTGACCCAGGATGGCTGAAGGAAGGGGTTCTAAGTATCTTTCTTGCTTACTTAATTCTATCAAAATCTTACTGCTCACTCTTTAACTCTTCTTTTCTCTCTGGTGGGGAAGTGGTCAGAGTAGCATCTTCTAACTTTCATGTGTTCTCCCAAATTTCTTCTCCATTTTTTGAGTTCTTTCCTTTTTTTCCTGCATGTTAAACTTCTGAAATTCAAAACTCTAAAAACTGACTACATTTTTCCCCTCTTCTCTCTAATTTGCCAAACTTTTGGTGAGACATGAAGCAAAAGAGACAAGCTGTTTAAAGGAAGGATTAAGGCAAATAAGAAAATACAGTGAAGGATATACAATTGATAAATCAAAAACATTAATGCAAATTATGAGTTAAATATTACTAAATATTGCAAAAAATTACAGAAAAGTGTATACGCCACAACTCTGTCATGTAAACAGTGAATTTTTTCTTCCTATTTTTCACCAAAAAAAGTCATGTTAAATTTATAGATGGAAATCTGCAACTTTATTTCCTTTAAACAGAATATTATGGAAATTCTTCAAGTGTAATTCATACAAGTCCCCAATTTAAAAGCAGCTGCCTAAAATGATGTATCTGTGGCTGAAATCAAACTAGTAGACAGTGGTATTCTTGTGCCAATTATGTACAATCCATGTCCACTCTGATTAATGCATTCTATTTAGTCAGCACCAGGGCTGCACTGTTGTTTATTTTTGTTATTGCTTACTATTTTTACTATCAACCCAGCGTGTATCTTAACTTATTAATCATATGGATACTCAAGTGGTTTCTAATTTGTTGCTCTTTAACCCCACACTGAATATCTTTGTATATATAACTCATAACTTAATAATATTACTTCTTAGGTATAAATCCAATTTTAGGTTTAGAGAAATTCTTTCACAGGTAAATAAGAAGATCGGAATAATGATGGTCTTCTTCAGTATTGTCTGTAATCACAAACAACTGAAAACTATCTAAAGGTCTAATCGTGGGTAAATAGACTGAATAAACTGAACGAATTATATAGCAGATAAAATGAGTGAATGAGGTCTCTATACATTTATCAGTATGAGTTGATCCTGAAAACATAATGTCAAGGAAAAAAGCAAATTGAATGTTGTTACATAACATACAGGTGACTAAAAATAAAATTATACTATATGGTTTTTCATGCTATAAATAACTGTTAAGAGTATTGAAATAAGTACTTCGAACACATTCAATTTGTGATACAGGGTGCTGAGCCTTAGAGAGAAGTGAGAAGAAATTCAACTTCATCTGAAATAAGTTATCATAAAAAGATCCAAAGAAATATCACAAAATAGCAACATTAGTCCAAATATAGGCATATTTTATCTTATATGTATCTTACCTAAATGCATTTATTTTAATTTAAAAATCCTCATATACCATAAATTTTCTTTTGAGTACCACTTGGTTGCATTTAGTATAATTTGCTGATACCTTTCATACAGCTGTTTTGTGATTTCATTTTTAACTTAAGATTCATTGGAAAAATTAATGTATATAGTTTTCTAGTGATTAGATAACCTTTCATTATGCTCTCCTTATTTTGCTTTGTTTCTACACAATGTGGCTTTAGTGGTATCTAGTTTTAGCAAGTCAATGAAATTTAATTTGACCCAAACATATGCAAAACTTCTATAAATACCATGAGGGCATTAGTAAACAATGTGAGATCTCTACTTGTTGTCTTTAGTGTTGTGTGAGAAAGTTCTTATGTGTATTTAAGTGTGTTCCTATATGTTTGTTTGTGTTCATGACTATATCTGAGAGTTTTAGATTAAAGCTTCATAGGATTTTGTTATTTCAGTTTCGCTTTGTATTTTTGTCAGATTTTGCTCTGTCAATATTGACCCCATGTAATTCAGTGCATATGGGTTTATAATGTGAAAGGTACTGGGTTTATCTTTTGTTTGTTTGGTTGGTTGGTTTTGTTTTTTTTGTATTGTTGTTGTTGAGAGGCGGTTTTGCTATGTTGCCCAGGGTTTGAACTCCTGGGCTCAGTGGATCCTCCCTCTCAACTTCTTGAGTAGCTGGGACTACAGACACACACTACTGTGCCTGGCAGATTCTTTTGTAATCAATATAAATGATTCCTTTTATTTTCTAATACAGTTTTCTCTTAGGTTTCATGCCATATGACTCTCATGTTTCTATCCTTAATTTTTTTGTTGGCATTTGTCTGTTATGTTATGTTCCCTGTTTTTCTTTTCAACATATTTTATGTTTTGTCATACTATTTTTTAAACATCTAGAGAAGTTATTCCTCTCACATTTTATCCATGAATTTCCTAATGAGTTTCATGAAACCTTACATCAATTAGTATTTTTTTAGTACCAAATCTAAACTAGTAGCATTTTATTTGTGGCACTAAGAAACAAGCATTGGAGGGAGGGAGACAGTGGAGGAAGTAAATCAGCAAAAGTGCCCAGTTTGACCCTAGATTTTAAGAGTCATATCTCCTAGAAACAGAGAAAGAACAAGTAAAGGCCAATAGTATGGAATTTATAATTTTTGTGATATTCAAAGAAGGAAGATATTGCTCACTGAAATTGTTGGAGCAAACTTCATAGATCTTTTTAAAATAGTTACTGAATGAAAAGAAGACCATTTTTGATTTGTACAGGGGGAATAACATAAACAAAAAAATAATTCACTCATTCATTCATTTCAAGAAACATTAAATAACTACTTTTTCCAGAATTGAGATAGGCTTAGGGAATACAACAATGTACAAAAATGGCTCCCAAATATGAAGCCTAGAATCTGTCCGCAGATTATATCACCCAAGTAGATGTAAAACTAAGTTCTGGGTCTAAGAAGTGAAGTGTTGCATCATCAATAGTGGGGAAAATCTGGCTAGGAAGGCTGGGAGAGGGTTTCCCAAAGTATAAATGTTAAACTGAGGGAAAAAGAAAGAGTGGGTAGTGACCATGAAAGAGAAGTAGGAGGGAGTTTATTAGACACAAAAAATGATGTGTGCAAAGACCCAATGGCAGGGGGAACTTGGATTGTTCTGCCTCTCTTTGAAGCTCGAATGAAAAGAGAAATGGGTTTTGTGGTATGAGAAGTCATGAGAGGTTCACAGATGTCGGCTGAGGTAGGCATTTTAGATCTGGCTAAATATTTTGATCTCTGCATTAAAAATGACAAAAAAAAACTACTGATTTTTTTTTAAAGCAAGGATTTGAGAGTGGAATAAGGGTGATTGTCTTTTTGGTTTGATCAATATTTGCATAGAAATGATCTTCCTGGCTTTCCCTCCATGGAGAATAAAGTCACAGATGAAGAGAGGCCATAGAGGATAAGAACTACAGCAGAAGTGCAAGGTTAGAACTTATAGTAGTTCTGTCTAGAATGGTAACCATTGAAACAAAAAGAGCCGTTTGTAATTGAACAATGTTTAGGAGGTAAAATCAGGAGGGCTTTAAGATAGATTGTATGGGGGATGAGGTACTCCAGGGTTTCTGGCCTCACCAACAGGATGGGGAGGGTATGGAACATGAGGTGATCATGAGGTTTGTTCTGAACATGACCAGAGTCATTGACAATGGAGTGTATATGCAGGAATGGCAATGATAACAACTTAGAAACAGCTGAAAATGCCTAATGGAGAGTTATGCAATAAAGATGAAAATTAAAAGCATTAGGAGAACACAGAAAAAAACAGGAGAATTGAAATTCAGGCAGTGATGTTAGAATCACACACAACTAGGTTGAAATCCCCATGATTCTATTTACTCAGTGATTTTTTTTAAGTACATAATTACCTTTCAGAGTCTTGGTTTTCTCATTTTAATGATGTGAAATTGTATCTACTCATAGGGTTTTTATGAGGGTTAAATGAAATAATATGGATGAAGTGTCTAGTTCAATAAGTGCTTAATAACATTTTTATTTTTAAAAGAGGAGATGGAAGCAAAGTCCCATTTTCAATTTGAGCTGCAACCTTATATATTGATCATATAATAGTCTCCATTTCTGATATTTGAGAAAATAAAGAGAACGGATGATATATCTCTAGTTAAATACTTTTATTAGCTATATCTGTTCTCTAAGTACTAGTCTGGCAGGTAGGCAGACATTTTCCTAATGCAACAGTAACTTATACATTTTGAGACAGATTTTAAAAGTATTTACCTACTTTATGAAAGTTGTCAAAATTACCTCCACATAAAACACAAGTGAATTGCTTATTTATTCTAACAATCCAGTTACACCAAAATATATGGAGCTCAGAAGGCATGAAATCTTCAGGCTGAGACCAATGGGTGCCAAGGAAACAGGCAGCCACCCGACTACTCTGTGTCAAAGGACTCAAGAAAGTCAGCACTTGCTCAAAGTAGGAGAGGAAGGCCTGAACATATAGAAACAGCCATTCTGAATCTTGACTTCCAGAAAATCAGGCACTGTGACAGCACCAGATCTGCTCTAAGCTCTCTGGTTCACATAGTTCCCTCCACTTCCTGTTTGATGCCTTACAACTGATCCTTTGCATTCACTTATATTATCCGCCTGGACCCTGCATTCATCCGCATGTGTAATCCAGACATTTCTTTTGCTAACACTCATAGTTAACAACCCAGGCTCTGAGGCGAGATAGCCTAGGTTCAAATCCTGGTTCTGATACTTACTATCTAACCATGACAAGTTACCTAACCTCTCTAAACTTAAGATTTTTCATTTGCACGATAGGAATATTAGTAATACTTAATTTACAAGTTGTTATGAGGATTAAAAACATACATAAAGCCCATAGAACAGAACATAGCAACAGATTGATGCTCATTGCTAGGTACTGAGGAAGTAAATAGGTACTAGGTGTTCTTCTGAAGGTTTCAGTACACACAAATGGATATCTTAGGGATCCAACTGTTCTCAGGAAGCCACTTCAAGTAAACATCACTCCCTCCCTTGAGCTTTCCTTAACCAGGCTTTATCAATGCTCAGCCACATATTAGCACACCCAGACCTCAGCATTTCCAATTCATGTTTTTTCTTTGGAGGATAGATCAAATCTAGGTTCCATAAAAGCCTAGAAAGGGCCCATTTTGGAAGACTCTAGGAAAGGGACCAGCATTTTGATGCAATTTCAGTTTCTCTGAGATGGTAGTACTGATAGGAACAGGAGCAGATACACTCTAGGCAGAAAAGGGCGGGTCCCTGGAGAAACTCCACCCTCAAGCCAAAAAGCCTGAAATCGTGGCCCAAAGTGAGAACTTATATCCCTGTTTTCCTGCTTGAATGTTGCCTTTTCCTAAACCACCAATGGCCCGCCCCCTGCCCCATCATGTGTCTATAAAAATTCCAGACTCAGCTGGTAGATGGAACTATGGCTGGGCGTCGCAGAGAAGTGGCTTGGCCTCAGAGGGACAGCTTGATGATGTAACCGGAGAAGAATTTGGCTGGAGAGGGCCGGACTTCAGGGGGCTAGTACCTTTCTGATCAGTCCCATTCTCAGCTCCCCTTCCTGCTAAGAGCCATTTTAATTGGCAATAAAATGCTCCGCATTTACCATCATTCAATTCACTTGTGCTACCTCATTTTTTTTATTTTTTATTTTTGGACACTAGGCAAGAGCTCGGGAGCCACAAATGCAGACACAAAAGGCTGCCACACTGGCCCTTTGCCTTCGCTGCTTGAGGGCAGCTACCCCACGTGAAAAGGCAAAGGGTTCACTGAACTGTTAACACTTAAGCTGTCCGCGGACAGCAGAGCTAAACGAGCACCATAACGCGCCCTCTGGGGCTTCAGGAGTCGTGGGTACCCTGCCCGGATACTGCTGCGGACCTGCACGGAGTTCACTCCAGCCGGCACTTCAGCATCCGTCTGGTTCCTGTACCCGCTCACCTATGTGCTCCCTCCCATGAAGGGTGGAAGTCAGTGGGTCCGAGTGAGTGGAGTTCGATCCTGCCGGCACCCAAGCAGCCAGCCTCTTCCAGCACTCATTCACTCGTTCCCGCACTCATTCGCTCATGTGCTCCCTTCAGCGGAGGAGTTGAGATCCGTGAGCTGAGTAAACGAGGCACCCCTGGGGCAAGTCCCACAGAGGGGTCAGGGAAATATTCTACTTCAGTACTTCCCAGCTGCCTTCTTATTTTATTCATCCCATAAAAGGATTTTACTCCTATACTTGTATTCCTTGAATTTAAATTTTATCCCTTGTTTCTTAGGTCTGAGAAGTTATCATAATATGAAGAAGTTCACTGGAATTATAAGAACAGATTTTTAAAGAACTGAATGAGAAAAAAATGCAAGCATCACCTAAAACAAAGAAAAGAAACAGAAAATCCTTCTTCCTTACCCAACCCTTCCTTCCTATCCCCAATGTAAACACTTATTCACTTTCAGGTTATATTCTTCCCCCACTCAAAAAAATCAGGTTTACTCAAATATACATGTATATACATTATAAGTTATAAATGCAACCATACTACACACCTCCTTCTGCAGAACTTTACATATAAAAATATATACATATCAATCTTTTAATGTCTGCACAGGATTATATTGTATGGAATATTATCCATGAATGATTTATATAACTAATCCTCTGTTGTTACAATATTACAAAGAATGTTGGTGTGAGTACGCTGTGTGCCTGCACATACACACACATACATACATTCATAGGTCTTGACATACTTTTCATTCAAGACATGTTGAAAACCTGAACTAAGTAGCAGTGGAGAGGAGATATGGAAGGTGTATAAAATTGAACATACAGGGGACCAAGGAAATCTAGGACAATTCCCAGGTTTCTTTCTTTCTTGGACAAATGTAATGTGTAATGTAACGTAATGTGAATGCATTGTAGGATCCCATTCACTGAGCTAAGGAATGCTGGTGTAGAAACTGGTTTTCATAGGGGAAATAATGACTTCAGTTTTTTATAGGTTGTTTCAGTTGTCCAAGGAGCATCCAAGAAGAGCTTTCTAGTAAGTAATTAGATACAACTGCCTGAAATTCAAAGAACAGGTCTCAGCTGCCAAGTTTATTCTGCAGCAGGCTGTGAAAATGGACGGTCTCAGAGTTTACTAGCCAGGTCTAGAAATTACTTAAAGTAGGATCTGGATGAGTTAGTAAAGAAGCTAAAGTTAAGACTATAAGACAGTTCTATATATATATATACATAATTTCAACTTTCATTTTAGACTCAAGTTACCTGGGTATATTTTGTGATGCTGAGGTTCGGGGTACAATTGATCTTGTCACCCAAGTACTGAGCATAGTACTGAATAGTTAGGGTTTCAAGACTTGCCCTTCTCCATCCTTCCCTACTAGACCCCTCTAATAGTGTCAGTTGTTGCCAGCTTTATGGTCATGATTATCCATTGTTTAGCTCCTGCTTATAAGTGAGAACATGTGGTATTTTTTTATTATTTTTCTGCATTAACTTGCTTAGGATAATGGTCTCCAGCTGCATTCATGTTGCTGCAAAAGATGTGATTTCATTCTTATTTATGGATGCATAGTATTCTATGGTGTATATGTACTACATTTTCTTCATCCAATCCACTGTTGATGGGCACCTACTCTGGTTCTACGTCTTTGTTATTGTGAATAGTCCTGTGATGAACATATGAGTGCATGTGTCTTTTCGGTAGAATAATTTATTTTATTTTGGCTATACACCTAGTAATGGGATTGCTAGTTTGAATAGTAGTCCTGTTGTAAGTTCTTTGGGAAGTCTCCAAACTGCTTTCCACAGTGGCTGAACTAATTTACATTCCCTCCAACAGTGTAAAACTATTCTCTTTTCTCTGTAGCCTTACCAGCATCTGCTGTTGTTTGACTTTTTAATAATAACAATTCTGACTGGTGTGAGATGGTAACTCACTGTGGTTTTGATTTGCATTGCTCTGAAGATTAGTGATGTAGAGCATTTTTTAATGTTTGTTGGCTGCTCATATGTCTTCTTTTGATAAATGTCTGTTCATATCTTTTGCCAATTTTTAATGGGGTTATATATTGTTTATTGTTCAATTGTTTAAGTTCCTTATGGATTCCAGATATTTGGCCTCTATGGAAAGCACAGTTTGCAAATATTTTCTCCCATTCTGTGGGCTGTCTGTTTAGTCTGTTGATAGTTTCTTTCGGTGTGCAGAAGCTCTTTAAGTTAATTAGATTCCACTTGTCAATTTTTGTTTTTGTAGCGATTGCTTTGGAGGACTTAGTCATAAATTCCTTCCCAAGGCCAACATCCAGAATTGTGTTTCCTAGGTCTTTTTTCTGGGATTCTTGTAGTTTGATGTCTTACATTTAAATCTTTAATCCATCTTGAGTTAATATTTGAATATGGTGAGAGGTAGTGGTCTAGTTTCATTCTTCTGCATATGGCTAGCCAGCTATTCCAGCACCATTTATTGAATAGGGTGTCATTTTTCCACTTATTAACTTCGATGGCTTAGATCAGATGGTTACAGCTGTGCAACTTTGTATCGGGGTTCTCTATTCTGTGCCATTTATCTGTATGACTATTTTTGTGCCAGTACCATGCTATTTTGATTATTATAGCCTTATAGTATAGTTTGAGGTCAGGTATGTAATGCCTCCAGCTTTGTTGTTTTTGCTTAGGATTGCTTTGCTTATTCTGGGTCTTTTTTGGTTTCATATAAATTTTAGAATAGTTTTTCTCTGGTTCTATGAAAAACAATATTGGTTGCTTAATAGGAATAGCTTGAATCTGTAGATTTCTTGGGGCAGTATGAACATCTTAACAGTATTGATTCTTGCAATCCATGGGCATGGAATGTTTTTCCATTTGTTTGTGTCATCTATGATTTCTAAGACTATCATTCTATTATGATTTAAATGATAATACTAGATAGAAAGAAACTACTTTTGTATTGAAATGCTGTAAAATATTTTATTTCACTTAACACTAAATTCATATGATACTCATATTCTTTTTCTTTTTTTTGAGATAGAGTCTCACTCGGTTTCCTAGGCTGGAGTGCAGTGGTGCAATCTCAGCTCACTGCAACCACCTCATGGGTTCAAGCGATTCTTTCACCTCAGCCTCCCAAGTAGCTGGGACTACAGGCACCCTCCACCACGACCAGCTAATTTTTGTATTTTTAGTACAGACAGGATATTCTCTTATTTTTAAATTAAGAAGATACTTTTAATTCTGCAATTTGTGATTTGGTCAGAAAATCACATACAAATTTCAGGAAAATAAGCATATTCTTATGCCGTATGTTTTGTTGTTTGGGCCACAGCATCAGTTGGAAGGAAGCTCTCTAAGCAGGCAAAAAGAGCATCAAGTGCTGAAAGTGTAAACACTAAGTTATAAAATTCTCATGAAAACTTGTTAACCAAAACCAAACCAATGTCAGTTACAGAAGCTGTACAAGCGATGCTGGCTGTTTAGGAGGTTGTCCTTCAGATGCTTGCCAATGCAACATTTGATTATAACCTATATGAAAGAGAATCCACATTTTTTAGTCAGGAAGCCAAGGCTTCCAAAACCAGCCTTGAAGGTAAATGAATCCTCCACTCAGTCCCAGGAATCCCCCATCTAGCTGCTTCATGAGCCTGCCAATCAAAAGCAAGTCACCTGTGTCTGCACCTACCTGCCGCCTGGGGCTAGAACTCTAATTGCAGTGAGAAGGGAAAGCAGCAGTCATTCTGACACTGCCTGGGGACACTATTTCCCATTTCTTTCACAGTAAATTTACAGTATCGAAAATGAAATTTCCTCCCAAGTTCCGTTTTAGTTCAAAACAAAAACATACAGTACACTGGAATTACTGTAAAACGCTAGTTTTGGTGGAGCACATCGGAGTGCATTATGTGGATGTGATATTTAACTCTCACTTTCTCTTTCTATACTGCATAAACTTGGGCAAATTTCTCTTGCTAAAATGGAGCAGAAAGAATTTAATGTAATTTAGTAGTCTCCAGCAGCCTCATGCACTTGGGGGAGAGCAGTATTATTTGATAATGATAATGGTGATGAAGGCACTCATACTTTGCGAATTTCTTACCAAGTTTGAGAAGAGAAAAATTATGTACATTTACAAATTATAATAGACTTAAGCTAAGAAGGTTTTTGTGACAATAAATGATGTTACATATGGGTTGGAAGAGGTTACTGAAAACAGGCTAAAGCTAATTCCAGTATTGGGTGAGAAAAGAATCTTATTTACTAGATTAAAATGTATAAAGGAACACACAATTTACTAATGAATGCTGATGATTTTAGGTCAAAATATATTTTCTGAGGTTATAAATTAGATTATTTTTATAGTTTCAATTAAACTATTAGTATATTAATACTTAATTATAATACTTTTTGATGGAGGCTGAAAATATACAGCAATTGGGAAGAAAGCACATCATGCCTCCCTGGGGTGTTTGATAAATATCAAAGTATGACAATGAATTGTGTACAGAACATGCTTTATTTGTATTTATGGTTGAACTTCATAGAAAAACTTCTCTGTGAGACATTAGATAGGTCCTAACTAAAATATTGTATCATGTTTACTTTCATCCATCTTTTGAAACATGCTATGGAAAACTGAAGGTCCTATGGAAAGAAATCAAAATAAAGAACATACTTGCACAAGTTTCCAAGTGAAAGCCCATCAAAGTTTCTTTTGGTCAATTGCAACTGGCTACTATTACATAAGAGGGACATTTTAATGGCCTGATAAGTGTGCTACCATATTACAAGGTCAGCTTCACTTCATTGTAAAATGCTTTGGAAGACTGACTGATATGTGTTCATCGGAATATAATAGACATCTGCAATCAAATTCTATCCAGAGAATTTTCTGGGCACAATTTAAAGTGTGGACCAAAAAAAAAAAAAATTCAAACCTAGGGGTATAGGACTCAATTATCTGTGGGAATCAGAACTTATCATCCAATACATCATCTAAAGAACAATTAAAGATTTTACTGAAGCAGTCAGTGACAAAACCAGCGTCTGAGTTCACGATTTCTCTGAGCCTCCTAGTGTTAAATTTGATCATGGATCATTTTGCTTCAATCATTTTTTTTTCATTCAAACTGAAAAATATTTATAACAAAAACTAACTTGTTGAGTAAGATGGGGAGGAAAAAAGAAATATGAGTGAAAATAAAAAGTGAATGCAGCAACGTATAATATGCTGGAAGAAACTTAATTTGCAGTTTTGCTGTTTAAATGCATTATGAGTTATGAGAATAACAGAGGAAGACTTTAGTAGAAAATGATGGTAGAATAGGCTTCACATTACTAATCTGACAAGTCAGAGTGGTTACATGAACTCTCCAACAATTATTACCTGAAAGATTCATTCTAAACCCTGAACGATGAAGCCTTGTTAAGTAAAATGCCTCTGTAGCAGTCAACTCTATCCAAGCCATACTCTGGGTTTTTCAACCAGAAAGATTTACTACAGAAAACTGTTTTCCAGATTATATTGTTTGAATAGGTTCCCTCCAAAATTCTGGCATTGAAACTTGGTCAATGTGATGTTATTAAGAGGTATGGCCTTTAAGAGGTGATTAGGTCATAAAGGCTTTTCCCTTCATGAATGGAATTATGACCCTTATATAAAAGTAGATGCAAGTAACATGTATCCCACTTACCCTTCCACCTTCTGTCATGTGAGGACACTGTTTCTCCCCTCTGGAGGATGTAGCAACAAGGCACTATTTGAAAGCATAGAGCAGCCCTTACAAGACAACTGAATCTGCTGCCACCTTGATCTTGGACTTCCAGCCTCCAGAACTGTGAGAAAATAAATTTATCTTCTTTATAAATTACCCAGTCTTAGGTATTTTTGTTATAGCAACACAAAACAGACTAAGACAATAGATAACGCAATTGTTGAGAAACAAGTAGAGGTGAGTAGTGCAAAGATAGATTGGCAACAGCAAGAAGCCATTACCATCTCTAGGGCAGGAGGGACAATGGAAGGGAGCGCTTTCCACTGTGTGGGAGCCAGAGGCATGGGGGAAAAAACATCTTGGTCAGAAGTGGGATCTCAGGGTGCATGTCTTCTTTGAGGGACTGGAGTTATGAAAGAGAAGCACTTGCAGAGACAACACAGGATGCAGAAGGAAATGGTGAGAAGTAAGCAGACCTCCCCCTCCTCCTGTCCTCAAACTGTTGACCCCCACCTTCTGGTATTCGGTTTGGGCTTCCATAAAAAAATACCATAGACTGGGTAACTTAAAAAGCACAGAAATATTTTCTTACAGTTCTAGGGGCTAGAAGTCCAAGATCAAGTTTCTGGCCAATTCAGTTTTTGGTGAGGGCTCTGTTCCTGGCTTGTAGACAGCCACCTTCTCCATATGTCCTCACATGGCCTTTCCTTGGTACATGCACAGGAGAGAGAGAGACAGAGAGACAGAAAGACACACAAAGAGATAAAGAGAGACAGGGAGAAAAACAGGGAGAGAGAGACAGAAAGACAGAAAGTGCACACACGCGCTCTCTGGTGTCTCTTATAAGGATACTAATCCTACTGGATCAAGGCCCCACTCTTATGACCTCGTTTAACCTTAATTACTTCCTAGGAGGTCCCATCTCCAAATACAGTTATATTTAGGGTTAGGGCTTCAACATATGAGTTTAAGGGGACACAGACATTCATTCCATGGCACTGCCTTTGACTGAACCTACTGTGATGCCTTTGGCTGAGTCCCTGAGATAGTAAGGGGTCCTGAAAAGTGTCCTGAGATGCAGAAAAGGGGGAGAGGTAGAATAGGTTAACTTGCACATTCTCTCATGGTATTCTTTTAATCTGATTTTTAATGGAACCTGGAGAAAAAAAAAGAACAGAAGAATTGAGTGAACTTAATATAACTTGGTGAAATATGTGTTTCTTAATCACCATCATGGCAACTCAATATATGCTGGCAGATTTGATAGTTGTGATCAAATGCTAGGCTACAGAAAATGTCTAATTTATCACCAGAAATATCTCCCCCTATATCAGAAGATTTATCATAACTGGAGCATTATATAAATTTTGTTCCTAGACAACAAAGATTTGTCTGCTTGAGGAAAAAAAATAAACTGTTAGAGGAATAGAAAGAAAATACGATTCTATTCTAATAAACTAGGAAACACATAAAAATAAGTTGGCTTCAAGGTTTCCTTATTAATCCTCCATTCCACCCACTCACATTGCGGGCAGTGTTGATAAATATAGAAAAGCAACATGCTTCACTACATACAACGAAAAAATAAAGACAGTATATTACTATTGTTTGAACAAAGGATAAGTCTTTTATCCATATCAGTACCCTAAATCTGAGACATCATATGCAATCCAAACATAGATGCACAAACCTCATTTACAGTTAAAATTCTGGCTTTGCAAACATTTGTAAGGGAAATGGTAATTGCTCTGTAGGTCAATTGAGACTTTTTAGATTTAACTCAATGGATACTTTCAGGTAGCAAAAGAGGAAATGCATATGAGTAATTAAAATCATCAAAAATCAATCCATATGAGAAATACAATGGCCCTTTAAGTGGGATGTCCTAGAACACTGCCTTGCCATTTAAAATTTGATCACAATGAATGATCCAAGACCTCATAATATATATCAAGAGCCTTTAAAAGTCCATTTTTTAAATCAATTTATTTCATTTTTGAGAATCCAAGGAAATAAAAAAATCAGGAAAAGTTTTACATAAAGCTGCTAGTTAGGTCATAATTTATATTACAAATTAGAAACAATCTAACTTTTTGACAGTAAGAGAATGCTTGAATAAGCTATGAAACAGAGCTAGAATTTGCTATTATATAACCAATAAAACTATAATTATGAAGAGAATTTATTATATGGTAAGGCATATGCATAGGCTACTACCAGAGTAATACTACAGGAAAGACAGGAGAAAGATGTAGCAAATGTTAATAGGCTGTAAATGTAATAAATAATCGTGGTTACCTTTCAGTTTTAGGATTATACGTGTATTTTTCCCCTTCTTTGTAGTGCATATTTTCCACATTGATCATCAGAAAAAAGACAAGCCACATGAAATAATCAGTGCTCCTATCTGACACCTTGCATCTTGTTGTTTCGTGTCCCTCAGTCCTGCCTTGGTCTAGCAGTTTTGGAGGCCAGAGCTATGAGAGCTTAGCTATGGATTTGGCCAGCTGCCCACTGTTCCCCAGTGCTATCCTGGCCTCTTCACCTACATTTACAATTATTACAATATTTGTTGAGAACCTGTTATGTGCCAAGCATCAGTTTAGGTGCAATAATAAACTTAGAGATGTATGCCATTTTATGTTTACGCTTGCAGTTAGGTTTATTTTATTAGGGCGACAAGACTTATTTACTTGAAATAAAAATCAGGAAACAAAAGAGCACTTAATCTGAAGCCAAGATATTCTATAGGCCAGTAGCTTTTAAACCTTTCAATGTAAAGAATATGTGTGTCTATGTATATTTGGAAATAATGTCTCACGGAATATTCGTCATCACTATGTTTAATAAACTCTGATATTTTCTATTTATCCCCATATTCCTATTCTGCATTATTACATTTAAAATACACTATTAGGATGACAATATTTTTTGTCAGCAGCAGCTTACCTAATGAGTGTTGATGCTTTGGGTCTGAGTGAAGAAAAGATAAAAGAAGAAAAAATATGCTAATCACAATCCACTAGATTGATTCCATGACCTATTACTGGGTTCGAATCCAGAGTTTGAAAAATACACCTATAGGCAAAAAATTCTGAAAAATGCTTTAAAAAATCAATGTAGTCCCTGTAAATTACTGGGAAAATCTGAGTTTGAAAGTAGTATTCAAAATAGTGACGGTATCCATGTGGGAAAGATAAACCAACAGAATTAATCTGATAGATTCGCCTGAAGTTCAGAGCTGCTGCTTCCAAATAAGTAGAAGTATACTTCAGTAGTTAAGAGTGTAGTCTTTACAGTTAGACCGACATGGGTTCAAGTCCAAGCCTTCCTAGATTACTTAGTTTCTCTCTATATTTCCCCAGTGTAAAATAAAGATGGCTAGTTCTACTTTTTAAGAAAATTTATAGAATTAACTCAGCCAAAATAAGTTGTGCCTGATATGTAGGAAGTACTTACTATACACTTCCTTAGTTCAAAGCTTGGTGGACTATGTTGACACCTGAATCTTAATGATTTATTTCACCTGGTTCCAAATTCCACAATGGTATTGACCAAAACTAATGTCTGCCTCTCACCCTAAAATCTCCAACCTGGTTTATTTCTACTTTTGCCTAACTCCTACCCCTAAATCTACAATCTTCTGCTCTCAATAGTCCCAAGTAACAGAATTTAGCAAGTTTGAGAAGTGAGTCAGACTCTAATTCTTTTTTAATATAGACCATGCTATGTAACGTAAACTTTATATATAGAGATGGCTGTTTGTAGTGATAATGTTTTTATTTTTTGAAAGTAATAAATATAAATAACATATAAAGGAATAAAGCAAAAAAGAAAAACCTTAGAAACAAAAATCATCATCTTTCCACCACCTAATCTTTTTAATCCCACTCCTTAACAGTAATTTCAAAACAATGTTAAAAGATAGTGATGAGAATGGGCATCCTGACATTTTTCCTGACTATAATGTATATGCTCATTATTCACTATCAAGTATAATGCTGATTTGGGGGTAAGAAATATATAAGGAGAAATACCCCTGAATCTCCATGATTGATATATATGAGAAAACAGAGATTATTTTTAAATGAATTTGTATATTAAAAAATCACTATAGGACAGGCATGGTGGCTCACACCTGTAGTCCCAGCACTTTGGGACGCCAAGGCAGGCAGATTGTTTGAGCCCAGGAGTTTGAGACCAGCCTGAGCAACACAGCAAAACCCTGTCTCTACTAAAAACACAAAAAATTACCCAGGCATTGTGCATGCACCTCTAGTCCCAGCTACCCTGGAGGCTGAGGCAGGAGGATCACCTGAGCCCGGAAGGTCAAGGCTGCATTGAACCATGATCATACCACTGCACTCCAGCCTGGGTGACAGAGTGAGACTATGTCTCAAAAAAACTCATTATATTTTCCTATTTTGTTATTTTTAAAATAAATAATAAAGAATAAATTTTATCATATGTCTTTTCTGCATCTCATGGGGCAACTTATGGTTCTGCTTGTTAGACTTCTCATATGGGGAAGCATAATTATGGATATTCTAATATTCTACTTGTTTATAGCTGAAAAAGTTATTTTAATGGACAAATTTTTTAACAGACATGTTTTCATATAAGTATTTGAAAAGATATTCAGCTTGATTAGACATTTGGAATATCTAAATTATAACCACAATGAGAAATCAGTACTTATGTGTTACCATGGCTAAAAGTTCAATGATTGACACTGTCAATTGCTATGGAAAATGTTGAGTAATAGGAACTCACTTCTGGTGGAAATGTAAAAATGCAATAATTTTGGAAAATAATTTGGTAGTTTTTAATAACATTAAATATACACACTCAATCTAAATTCTTGGTATTTATTCAAGTATTATAAATTGTAAATCTATATTGACACAAGACTTGTATGTGAAACACCACAAGCTGGGAACAACTAACATGTCCTTCACCAGGTGAATGACTCAAAAGAACTTACATACCTATAATGGAATGACACTTAGCAATTAATAGAAAAAAACACTGATACATAGCAACATAAATAAATCTTAAATGCATTTTGTTAAAGGAGGCAGAAAACAAATGCTACATATTGAATGATTTCATTTATATGATATGCCAAAAAGGGCGAAATTATCTAATATTCTACTTCAAAGATTTATATTTTCTTATCTATCAGTGTACATCATTGGAAATGGAGGGCATTTTTCTCTGATTTGAAAATTATCAGTCATTATGCATATAAAATAGTATTATTCCTATACTCTTTACACCCTAGTCATACCATCAAATGGATAGCAAAGATAATGCTTTTCTGCTAGTGCACTTTGTAAATCTTTGAATAACACATTCCTCAATCATGATAGTCAAAATACAATTGAACAGATTGAGATTTTTATCAGATTATATTCATTTATTCATTCATTCACTCACTCAAAAAATATTTCTTGAGTACATACTATATGTTTTGTTCTGTGACTAACAAAGTACAAGAACTCCATGGCGTTTATGATCTAAGAGGGAGATAAACATTAACTATCACCCTAGGTAGTTGTGTAAGCAGGTAGGCAAGTAGGTAGGTAGGTAGGTCAGCGGGTGGGTGAGTGGATGGATGGATAAATGATAGATGATAGATAGGTAGATAGATGAATAAATGGATAGATAGATGACAGATATGTAGATGGATGGATGAATGGACAGATGGACAAACATATAGGTAGGTAAATGATAGATAAAATTACTAACTGTAGTTAAGCACTGTCAAGATAAATTATAGAATTATAGGAGAGATTATTATAGAGCACAAGAAATCTAACATAATCTTGGGAGAATGGGAAGGCCCTTATGAGAAACTGACCTTTTTTTTTTGAAATGGAGTTTCTTGTCACCCAGGCTGGAGTGCAATGGCATGATCTCAGCTCACTGCAAACTCTGCCACTCGGGCTCAAGCAATTCTCCTGTCTCAGCCTCCTGAGTAGCTGGAATTACAGGAGCCCACCATCACGCCCGGCTAATTTTCATATTTTTAGTAGAGATGGGGTTTCACCATGTTGGCTAGGCTGGTCTGGAACTCCTGACCTAAGGCAATCCGTCTGCCTTGGCCTCCCAAAGTGCTGGGATTACAGGTGTGAGCCACCGCACCTGGCCTGGGAAATTGACTTTCAAGCAGAGATCCTAAGGATAGAAGATAAATAATAGAAAACACAGTGAAGAGTGCTCCGCACATAAAAAATAGTACTCAAGTCTTAAAGATGAATGGATAGTGACATATTTATGAAATTAGAGAAAGTCCAAGATGGCTGGAGAGCAAAGCATAGAGAAAAGTGAGGGAAAATGGGAAAAAGGTGAGTGATTTCTGCATTTCCAACTGAGGTACCTGGTTCTTCTCATTAGGACTGGCTAGACACTGGGTGCAGCCCACAGAGGGCAAGCTGAAGCAGGGTGGAGTGTCAACACACCCAGGAAGCACAAGGGATCTGGGAACTCCCTCCTTTAGCCAACGGAAGCTGTGAGGGACTGTCCCTTGAGAAATTGTGTAATCCGGCCCAGATACTCCACTTTTCCCACAGTGTTTGCAATCCGCAAAACAGGAGATCCCCTTGGGTGCCTATGCTACCAGGGCCCTAGGTTTCAAGCACAAAACTGGGCAGCCATTTGGACAGATACCGAGCTAGATGCAAGAGTTTTTTTTCAGACACCAGTGGTGCCTGGAACTCCAGCGAGACAAAACCGTTCACTCCCTTGGAAAGGGGGCTGAAGCCAGGGAGCCAAGTGGTCTAACTCAGTGGATCCCACCCCGCAAAGAGCCCAGCAAGCTAAGATCCACTGGCTTGAAATTCTTGCTGCAAGCACAGCAGTCTGAAGTCAACCAGGGACACTCGAGCTTGGTAAGGGGAGGGCTGTCCACCATTACTGAGGCTTGAGTAGGCGGTTTTCCCCTCACAGTGCAAACAAAGCCACTCGGGAAGTTCAAACTGGGAGGAGCCCTCTGCAGCTCAGCAAAACCGCTGTAGTCAGATTGCTGCTCTAGATTCCTCCTCTCTGGGCAGGGCATCTCTGAAAGAAAGACAGTAGCCCCAGTCAGGGGCTTATAGGTAAAACTCCCATCTCCCTGGGACAGAGCACCTGGGGGAAGGGGCAGCTGTAGGCACAGCTTCAGCAGACTTGAATGTTTGAAATTAAGGCAGTAATTTATCAACCAAGAAAAGCCCAGGACCAGATAGATTCACAGCCGAATTCTACCAGAGGTACAAAAAGAAGCTGGTACCATTCCTTCTGAAACTATTCTAAACAATAGAAAAAGAGGGACTCCTCTCTAACTCATTTTATGAGGCCAGCATCATCCTGATACCAAAAACTGGCAGAGACACAACAAAAAAAGAAAATTTCAGGCAAATATCCCTGATGTACATCGATGCAAAAATCCTCAATAAAACACTGGCAAACCAAATCTAGCAGCACATCAAAAACTTATCCACCATGATCAAGTCGGCTTCATCCTTGGGATGCAAGCCTGGCTCAATATACACAAATCAATAAACATAATCCATTACATAAACAGAACCAATGACAAAAACCACATGATTATCTCAATAGATGCAGAAAAGGCCTTCAATAAAATTCAAATCCCCATCATGCTAAGAACTCTCAATAAACTAGGTATTGATGGACTGTATCTCAAAATAATAAGAGCTATTTATGACAAACCCACAGCCAATATCATACTGATTGGGCAAAAGCTGGAAGCATTCCCTTTGAAAACTGGCACAAGACAAGATGCCTTCTCTCACCACTTCTATTCAACATAGTATTGGAGGTTCTGACCAGGGCAACCAGGAAAGAGAAAGAAATAAAGGGTATTCAAATGGGAAGAGAGGAAGTCAAATTGTCTCCATCTGCAGATGACAAGATTGCATATTTAGGAAACCCCATTGTCTCAGCTCCAAATCTACTTAAGCTGATAAGCAACTTCAGCAAAGTCTCAGGATACAAAATCAATGTGCAAAAATCACAAGCATTCCTATATACCAATAATAGACAAGCAGAGAGTCAAGTCATGAGTGAACTCCCATTCACAATTGCTACAAAGAGAATAAAATACCTAGGAATACTACTTAAAGGGATGTGAAGGACCTCTTCAAGGAGAACTGCAAACCATTGCTCAAGGAAATAAGAGAGGACACAAACAAATGGAAAAATATTCCATGCTCATGAATAGGAAGAATCATTATGGTGAAAATGGCCATACTGCCCAAAGTAATTTATGGATTCAATGCTATCCCCATCAAGCTACAATTGACTTTCCTCACTGAATTAGAAAACACTACTTTAAATTTCATATGGAGCCAAATAACAGTGTGTATAGCCAAGACAATAGTAAGTAAAAAGAACAAAGCTGGAGGCATCAGGCTACCTGACTTCAAACTATACTACAAGGCTACAGTAACCAACACAGCATGGTACTGGTACCAAAACAGATATATAGACCAATGGAACATAATAGAGGTCTCAGTAATAATGCCACACATATACAACCATCTGTTTTTTGACAAACCTGATACAAACAAGCAATGAGGAGAGGATTTCCTATTTAATAAATGTCATTGGGAAAACTGGCCAGCCATATGCAGAAATCTGAAACCGGACCCCTTCCTTACACCTCATACAAAAATTAACTTAAGATAGATTAAAGACTTCAATGCAAAACCTAAAACCATAAAAACCCTAGAAAAGAACCTAGGCAATACCATTCCAGACATGGCCATGGACAAAGACTTCATGACTAAAACACCAAAAGCAATGGCAACAAAAGCCAATATTGACAAATGGGATCTAATTAAACTAAAGAGCTTCTGCACAGCAAAAGAAACTATCATCAGAGTGAAGAGGTAACCTACAGAATCGGAAAATTTTTTGCATTCTATACATCTGACAAAGGGCTAGTATCCAGAAGATACAAAAAACTTAAATTCAAAAGAAAAAAAACAAACAATACCAACAAAAAGTGGGCAAAGGATATGAACAGACACTTGTCAAAAGAAGACATTTATGAGGCCAACAGACATATGAAAAAAAGCATATCATCACTGGTCATTAGATAACTGCAAATCAAAACCACAATGAGATACCATCTCATGCCAGATAGAATGGCGATCATTAAAAAGTTAGGAAAAAACAGATGCTGGAGAGGATGTGGAGAAATAGGAACACTTCTACACTGTTGGTGGGAGTGTGGATTAGTTCAACCATTGTGGAAAACAGTGTGGTGATTCCTCAAGGATCTAGAACCAGAAATACCATTTGACCCAGCAATCCCATTACTGGGTATATACTCAAAGGATTATAAATCATTCAACTATAAAGACACATGCACACATATGTTTATTGCAACACTGTTCACAACAGCAAAGACTTCAAACCAACCCAAATGCCCACCAATGATAGACTGGATAAAGAAAATGTGGCACATATACACGACGGAATACTATGCAGCCATGAAAAAGGATGAGTTCATGTCCTTTGCAGGGACATGGATGAAGCTGGAAATCATCATTCTCAGCAAACTAACACAGGAACAGAAAACAAAACAATGCATGTTCTCACTCATAAGTGGGAGCTGAACAATGAGAACACATGGACACAGGGAGGGGAACATTACCCACTGTGGCCTGTTGGGGGTGGGGGGCTAGGGGAGGGATAGCATTAGGAGAAATACCTATGTAGATGACGGGTTGATGGGTGCAGCAAACCACCATGGCAAGTGTATACTATGTAACAAACCTGCACATCCTGCACAGAACTAAAAGTATGTTTTAAAAAGTATAAGTAGGCCAAGACGGCCGAATAGGAACAGCTCCAGTCTGCAGCTCCCAGCGTGAGCGACACAGAAAACGGGTGATTTCTGCATTTCCAACTGAGGTACCGGGTTCATCTCACTGGGGAGTGCCGGACAGTGGATGCAGGACAGTGGGTGCAGTGCACCATGTGTGAGCCGAAGCAGGGAAAGGCATCGCCTCACCCAGGAAGCGCAACAAGTCAGGGAATTCACTTTCCTAGTCAAAGAAAGGGGTGACTGATGGCACCTGGAAAATTGGGTCACTCCCACCCTAATACTATGCTTTTCCAACAGGCTTAACAAACGGCACACCAGGAGATTATATCCCACACATGGCTGAGATTGTCCTATGCCCACGGAGCCTTCCTCATTGCTAGCACAGCAGTCTGAGATCAAACTGCAAGGTGGGAGCAATGCTGGGGGAGGGGCACCTGCTATTGCCCAGGCTTGAGTAGGTAAACAAAGCAGCCAGGAAGCTCGAACTGGGTGGAGCCCACCACAGCTCAAGGAGGCCTGCCTGCCTCTGTAGACTCCACCTCTGGGGGCAGGGCACAGACAAACAAAAGGCAGCAGTAACCTCTGCAGACGAAAATGTCCCTGTCTGACAGCTTTGAAGAGAGTAGTGGTTCTCCCAGCACGCAGCTGGAGATCTGAGAACAGGCAGACTGCCTCCTCAAGTGGGTCCCTGACACCTGAGGAGCCTAACTGGGAGCCACCCCCAAGTAGGGGCGGCTGACACCTCACACCACCAGGTATTCTTCTGAGACAAAACTTCCAGAGGAACGATCAGGCAGCAGCATTTGCGGTTCACCAATATCTGCTGTTCTGGAGCCACTGCTGCTGATACCCAGGCAAACAGGGTCTGGAGTGGACCTCCAGCAAACTCCAACAGACCTGCAACTGAGGGTCCTGACTGTTAGAAGGAAAACTAACAAACAGAAAGGACATCCACACCAAAAACGCATCTGTACGTCACCATCATCAAAGACCAAAGGTAGATAAAACCACAAAGATGGGGAAAAAACAGAGCAGAAAAACTGGAAACTCAAAAAATCAGAGCGCCTCTCCCCCTCCAAAGGAACACAGCTCCTCACCAGCAACAGAACAAAGCTGGATGGAGAAAGACTTTGATGAGAGAAGAAGGCTTCAGAAGATCAAACTACTCTGAGCTAAAGGAGGAAGTCTGAACCAATGGCAAAGAAGTTAAAAACCTTGAAAAAAAATTAGATGAATGGTAACTAGAATAACCAATGCAGAGAAGTCCTTAAAGGACCTGATGGAGCTGAAAACCATGGCACGAGAACTACGTGATGAATGCACAAGCCTCAGTAGCCAATGCGATCAACTGGAAGAAAGTATATCAGCGATGGAAGAAGAAATGAATGAAATGAAGCAAGAAGAGAAGTTTAGAGAAAAAAGAATAAAAAGAAATGAACAAAGCCTCCAAGAAATATGGGACTATGTGAAAAGACCAAATCTACATCTGATTGGTGTACCTGAAAGTGATGGGGAGAATGGAATCAAGTTGGAAAACACTCTGCAGGATATTATCCAGGAGCACTTCCCCAATCGAGCAAAGCAGGCCAACACTCAAGTTCAGGAAATACAGAAAATGCCACAAAGATAATCCTCGAGAAGAGCAACTCCAAGACACATAATTATCAGATTCACCAAAGTTGAAATGAAGGAAAAAATGTTAAGGACAGCCAGAGAGAAAGGTCAGGTTACCCACAAAGGGAAGTCCATCAGACTAACAGCTGATCTCTCAGCAGAAACTCTACCAGCCAGAAGAGAGTGGGGGCCAATATTCAACATTCTTAAAGAAAAGAATTTTCAACCCAGAATTTCATATCCAGCCAAACTAAGCTTCATAAGTGAAGGACAAATAAAATACTTTACAGACAAGCAAATGCTGAGAGATTTTGTCACCACCAGGCCTGCCCTAAAAGAGCTCCTGAAGGAAGCACTAAACATGGAAAGGAACAACCGCTACCAGCCACTGCAAAAACATGCCAATTGTAAAGACCATCGAGGCTAGGAAGAAACTGCATCAACTAATGAGCAAAATAACTAGCTAACATCATAATGACAGGATCAAATTCACACATAACAATATTAACCTTAAATGTAAATGGGCTAAATGCTCCAATTAAAAGACACAGACTGGTAAATTGGATAAAGAGTCAAGATCCATCAGTGTGCCGTATTCAGGAAACCCATCTCACATGCAGAGACACACATAGGCTCAAAATAAAGGGATGGAGGAAGATCTACCAAGCAAATGGAAAACAAAAAAAAGCAGGGGTTGCAATCCTAGTCTCTGATAAAACAGACTTTAAACCAGCAAAGATCAAAAGAGACAAAGAAGGCCATTACATAATGGTAAAGGGATCAATTCAACAAGAAGAGCTAACTATCCTAAATATATATGCACCCAATACAGGAGCACCCAGATTCATAAAGCAAGTCCTGAGTGACCTACAAAGAGACTTAGACTCCCACACAATAATAGTGGGAGACTTTAACACCCCACTGTCAACATTAGACAGATCAATGAGACAGAAAGTCAACGAGGATATCCAGGAATTGAACTCAGCTCTGCACCAAGTGGACCCAATAGACATCTACAGAACTCTCCACCCAAAATCAACAGAATATACATTTTTTTCAGCACCACACCACACCTATTCCAAAATTGACCACATAGTTGGAAGTAAAGCACTCCTCAGCAAATGCAAAAGAACAGAAATTATAACAAACTGTCTGTCAGACCATAGTGCAATCAAACTAGAACTCAGGATTAAGAAACTCACTCAAAACCACTCAACTACATGGAAACTGAACAACCTGCTCCTGAATGACTACTGGGTACATAACGAAATGAAGGCTAAAATAAAGATGTTCTTTGAAACCAACGAGAACAAAGACACAACATACCAGAATCTCTGGGACACATTCAAAGCAGTATGTAGAGGGAAATTTATAGCACTAAATGCCCACAAGAGAAAGCAGGAAAGATCCAAAATTGACACCCTAACATCACAATTAAAAGAACTACAGAAGCAAGAGCAAACACATTCAAAACCTAGCAGAAGGCAAGAAGTAACTAAGATCAGAGCAGAACTGAAGGAAATAGAGACATGAAAAACCGTTCAAAAAATCAGTGAATCCAGGAGCTGGTTTTTTGAAAAGATCAACAAAATTGATAGACTGTTAGCAAGACTAATAAAGAAAAGAGAGAAGAATCAAATAGACGCAATAAAAAATGATAAAGAGGATATCACCACCGATCCCACAGAAATACAAACTACCATCAGAGAATACTACAAACACCTCTATGCAAATAAACTAGAAAATCTAGAAGAAATGGATAAATTCCTGTACACATACACCCTCCCAAGACTAAACCAGGAAGAAGGTGAATCTCTGAATAGACAAATAACAAGCTCTGAAGTTGAGGCAATAATTAATAGCTTACCAACCAAAAAAAGTCCAGGACCAGATGGATTCACAGCCGAATTCTACCAGAGGTACAAGGAGGAACTGGTACCATTCCTCCTGAAACTCTTCCAATCAATAGAAAAAGAGGGAATCCTCCCTAACTCATTTTATGAGGCCAGCATCATCCTGATACCAAAGTCTGGCAGAAACACAACAAAAAAAGAGAATTTTAGACCAATATCCTTGATGAACATCGATGCAAAAATCCTCAATAAAATACTGGCAAAACGAATCCAGCAGCACATCAAAAAGCTTATCTACCATGATCACGTGGGCTTCATCCCTGGGATGCAAGGCTGGTTCAACAAACGAATATCAATAAACATAATCCAGCATATAAACAGAACCAAACACAAAAACCACATGATTATCTCAATAGATGCAGAAAAGGCCTTTGACAAAATTCAACAGCACTTCATGCTAAAAACTCTCAACAAATTAGGTATTGATGGCACGTATCTCAAAATAATAAGAGCTATCAATGACAAACCCACAGCCAATATCATACTGAATGGGCAAAAACTGGAAGCATTCCCTTTGAAAACTGGCACAAGACAGGGATGCCCTCTCTCACCACTCCTATTCAACATAGTGTTGGAAGTTCTGGCCAGGGCAATCAGGCAGGAGAAGGAAATAAAGGGTATTCAATTAGGAAAAGAGGAAGTCAAATTGTCCCTGTTTGCAGACGACATGACTGTGTATCTAGAAAACCCCATCATCTCAGCCCAAAATCTCCTTAAGCTGATAAGCAACTTCAGCAGTCTCAGGATACAAAATCAATGTGCAAAAATCACAAGCATTCTTATACACCAATAACAGACAAACAGAGAGCCAAATCATGAGTGAAATCCCATTCACAATTGCTTCAAAGAGAATAAAATACCTAGGAATCCAACTTACAAGGGACGTGAAGGACCTCTTCAAGGAGAACTACAAACCACTGCTCAAGGAAATAAAAGAGGATACAAACAAATGGAAGAACATTCCATGCTCATGGGTAGGAAGAATCAATATTGTGAAAATGGCCATACTGCCCAAGGTAATTTATAGATTCAATGCCATCCCCATCAAGCTACCAATGACTTTCTTCACAGAATTGGAAAAAAACTACTTTAAAGTTCATATGGAACCAAAAAAGAGCCTGCATCGCCAAGTCAATCCTAAGCCAAAAGAACAAAGCTGGAGGCATCACGCTACCTGACTTCAAACTATATTACAAGGCTACAGTAACCAAAACAGCATGGTACTGGTACCAAAGCAGATACAGACCAATGTAACAGAACAGAGCCCTCAGAAATAATGCCGCATATCTACAACTATAAGATCTTTGACAAACCTGACAAAAACAAGAAATGGGGAAAGGATCCCCTATTTAATAAATGGTGCTGAGAAAACTGGCTAGCCATATGTAGAAAGCTGAAACTGGATCCCTTCCTTACACAGTATACAAAAATTAATTCAAGATGGATTAAAGACTTACAGGTTAGACCTAAAACCATAAAAACCCTAGAAGAAAATCTAGGCAATACCATTCAGGACATAGGCATGGGCAAGGACTTCATGTCTAAAACACCAAAAGCAATGGCAACAAAAGACAAAATTGACAAATGGGATCTAATTAAACTAAAGAGCTTCTGCACAGCAAAAGAAACTACCATCAGAGTGAACAGGCAACCTACAAAATGGGAGACAATTTTTGCAACCTACTTATCTGACAAAGGGCTAATATCCAGAATCTACAATGAACTCAAACAAATTTACAAGAAAAAAACCAAACAACCCCATCAAAAAGTGGGCAAAGTATACGAACAGACACTTCTCAAAAGAAGACATTTATGCAGCCAAAAAACACATGAAAAAACTCATCATCACTGGCCATCAGAGAAATGCAAATCAAAACCACAATGAGATACCATCTCACACCAGTTAGAATGGTGATCATTAAAAAGTCAGGAAACAACAGGTGCTGGAGAGGATGTGGAGAAACAGGAACACTTTCACATGGTTGGTGGGACTGTAAACTAGTTCAACCATTGTGGAAGTCGGTGTGGCGATTCCTCAGGGATCTACAACTAGAAAGACCATTTGACCCAGCCATCCCATTACTGGGTATATACCCAAAGGATTATAAATCATGCTGCTATAAAGACACATGCACATGTATGTTTATTGCAGCACTATTCACAATAGCAAAGACTTGGAACCAACCCAAATGTCCAACAATGATAGACTGGATTAAGAAAATGTGGCACATATACACCATGGAATACTATGCAGCCATAAAAAATGATGAGTTTATGTCCTTTGTAGGGACATGGATGAAGCTGGAAACCATCATTCTCAGCAAACTATTGCCAGGACAAAAAACCAAACACCGCATGTTCTCACTCATAGGTGGGAATTGAACAATGAGAACACATGAACACAACAAGGGGAACATCACACACCGGGGACTGTTGTGGGGTGGGGGGAGCAGGGAGGGATAGCATTAGGAGATATACCTAATGCTAAACGACGAGTTAATGGGTGCAGCACACCAACATGGCACATGTATACATATGTAACAAACCTGTACGTGGTGCACATGTACCCTAAAACTTAAAGTATAATAATAATAAAATTAAAAAAAAGTATAAGTAACTATCTGATAAGGCCATTATTTCTAATTTTTTCAAATATATGTTCGGATTTAATGATGTTAAAACTCTTCTCTTTTGAGGGTAAAAAGTTGTTGAAGTACATGGAGAGTTGGTTCAATTTTTTAATTTAAAAGATGAAGAAAATTCCTGCTCCGCTAAACTCTACCTTCTCTAGGTATTTGCTAAGGATTTTTTTTGCAAAGAATATGCTGACTCTGTAATTAAAAAAATGTATTATTAAAGTCTGAAACTTTACTTAGAAGTTATGTGGAATAGTTAATATTTATTTGAAAAAACAAGCATTAATAGGGAATGAGAAAAGAAAACAAAGTTAACGTGTACAGTATTCTATAAGAATAATGACACCAGGATAAGAGGATTGCCAAAGCCTAATTTGGAGTGGAAAATTAATTATCAAAGGTGTTACATATAATTGTCCACTAAATTATACTTGACATTAAATCAAGGGGAAATAAAAACACCTTAAATCATCCCATTGCCACTTCATGTGAACTATGAAAGAATGTGGTAGATCAGAACCTTCTAAGACCACAATTTCTTATTTTTTAAATGAGGGTAGCAAGATTGAATCCTGTTTCAAGTTCTCCTTTGAAATCAATGATGAGACTTTTTATTTTTACAATTTCCTCTCTTCTTAGAATAAATAGTCTCTTCATTTACTCTCACACAAAATTTCTCTAATTATTTCCATATTCTCTTACAGTAAGGCTTGACCTCTGAGCTTGTATTACTAGATAATATAGAGGAGAGTCTCCAAATGCTTGGAGTGTCTATGTATATGCCTGTGTGTGTGTGCACGTGCATGAGTGCGTGTTATGTGTGTTTAGCCCCCAAGAAGAAAAAATAAAAGACACTGCAAAAATTAGGTAGGTCATTAAATCAAGTAGGATTTTATGAAACTATTTTACAAATCATTCTGTTTGATGGACATTTATTATCTTTAAGAGGTAAGTTTAATCTAGGTGAAGTTATTTTCTGCCTTATTTTTAAATCATAATGTTGATTAAATCTTCAATAAAACAACTAAAATGAAACGTTGCACTGATTGCAATGCCCCCCAACCACCTCCCCACCCCCCAGCCAAAAACTCTGCAAAGGGTTTCTGTCAGAAAAACAGTCCAGAAGAAAAGGTGACAACTAGATCAGGTGGATGACAAGCAGCACTGGGGGTGGGGGATGGGGCAGAAGCTTCTGCCAAGCAATAGGTGAAACTTGAAACCCAAGTGTGTATTAATCTGAATCACTTGTCAACTTGTAGGGTCACTGACCTTGAAGAAATGAATTTATTTCCTGGTCAAATACTTTCTGAAAAGGTGCTCACATTTTAATCAATTTTCAGGCCCTCACTAAAGTCCAGATTAATTTGTGCAGCTCGAAAGTTAATTAAACCCCTTCTTCCAACAAAACAGATTCATTCCAAACCATTTGATTCCTGCTTATGACCATTTCTTAAAAATGCTTTTGAAAAAAATCCACTGGTGGTAACAGCAACTGAGGATCCCTGGGAGCCCTGGAGTTGTTGTTCACAGTCTTTGGAATACTATCCTGTGGCTTTTAGATAGGAGTGTTAACAATTTTCAACAACACACAAGTGTACTATTGACCTCTGTAAGAATCCACTCTAGGAAGCAAGGTTGTTGATTTCATGGAAATTGAAAAATCACAAATTCCTTCTCCTTTTTTTTCCCATTTCCAGTTATCTTAATATTTCCCAAACCAGAACACTAAAAAAGAAACAAAAAAATTAATTATTTAAAGATGTTATACAAGAAGAAAAAGTAGTTTGAAGTCTGAGTGTTCCTGGAAGTTTAAAATGTTCTTGCATATTTTTTAAAGCTTCCTAGGAGCTATTACAGCTGCAATACTTGAGGGAGAAATAAATGAAGTATGAATATGTGGTCCAATATAATGTGATTGTCTTCTGGCTGTAAATTCAACTGTCTTCACTGATTGTTGAGAAAGCAATGGTGTTATACATGTAACTGATTACTTTTTATAGCCATTCTGTGTGAAATATATTAGATGTTTAAAAGAAATGGGTGATCCCTTTCACAAAGATCTGAAAAAGGCAAACCCTCTCCATCATTTGACAGATGCAGAAAGCTGGAGAATGGCCTCCAATCCCATGCTAATTGTCTGTCCAGTAGAGCTCTCCTGTGAGGCAAAATGAGGGGCTAGAAGCCTAGAAAGGGAGCAGGAGGTTGAGCAGCACTTGCTGTGTCTTTTGTAATCAGATGAACATGGTCTCGAGAACCAAGGGGCAAAACTACTGCTAACTTCTTTGCTGTTTTTGTGCAATTGTAATTTAAATCAAGCCAAGTGTATACCTAGGTGAGGTTCTGTCCCTGCTCTCATCTGAAAAGCCACTATTGACAAGCTCAATTTTAGGATGGTCATTTATTAGCTGAAAGACATCTACACATGGCATGCCTCACGATCACCTCTATCACACTGAGTTTCAAAGCCAAAATAATGGTGAGCTCAGCAGAAAAAATCTGGAAAGATGCTCAAGGCCTAAGACAAAAAAGAAAGGGCAAAATTAGGTTATTAACTTAAACTAGGCAACTATAACATCAGTAAAAATTGTCCTAGTAAAATACAGTATACCTAATTATGTCAACTTTTTTTGTTTTTTTTTTTTTTTGACAGAGTCTCTCTCTGTTGCCTAGGCTAGAGTGCAGTGGCACAATCTCGGCTCACTGCAACCTCCGCCTCCCAGGTTCAAGTGATTCTCCTGCCTCAGCCTCTAGAGTAGCTGAGATTACAGGCATGTGCCACCATGCCCAGCTAATTTTTGTATTATTAGTAGAGACGGGGTTTCACCATGTTGGCCAGGCTGGTCTCGAACTCCTGACCTTGTGATCCGCCCACCTCAGCCTCCCAAAGTGCTGGAATTACAGGCGTGAGCCACCATGCCTGGCTACGTCAACTTTTAAATATCATTCCTCTTATAATCCTAAATAGTTTAAACCCTATATAGAAATATAAGAGCTGGTGAGGATTTCAATTTAAGCAATTTATTTCCTTTATAAAATTTTAAATGAGTAGCTCAAGCAGGGGTCTTATATCAAAATAACATAACTATCCTCAGGTGAGTTCTCTATACCCAGGATATAAGCAGTTTATTGACATATTCAAATATATGAAGCAACTGTCATGGCAGAGCATCCGAGATCAATGGATACTTAAAGACTCAAGAGATCTGTGATCCCCCTGAAATTATAAGCTAGACTTAGTCTCTCTCTCTCTCTCTCTCTCTCTCTCCCTACCTACCTATCTATTAATACCTATCATTTGCATTTTAGGGGACAGGAAGCCATTAGTATTAATGAAAATCTTAAAAGAATACACCACGTGTAACTTTATAAGTCACATATGTAAAGGGTTACTTGTTACAAAATTAAATGTTATTTTTAAAATATCTAATTATGCTACAACAGCAGATGGTATCATAAAAACTCACAACCTATAACAGTTTAGCAAACTTTCACTAATTTTTGTTTCCCCCACAGAAAAAAAAAAATTAAAATTGGCTATTTATTTTGAAAATTATGCCTCCATTTGTTTCTTAGAAGTCATGTGCTCTAGGGTTCAAAGTATGTACAAATCTTCTCAAACCTCAATAGTCCATGTTGCTATCTCTGTATATAATTACACATTTAATAAGTCCAATCTAAAACTCTCATCACTTAACGGTTGAGGCAAGGCATCTCATACTGTGAAACATAATGATTCACACAGTTCCCATGATTGTAGTTCCCATTTGCAGTCTAAATGCATACAAAGCAATCCCTGTAAGATTTATTATAAATACAACATATTCTTATGTCTATTAGTGACTCACTCTCCTGGTGAGGATACAATTTACATTTTTGATGAATTAAAAAATGATATAAATATTAAGTGCTTACTGCCCTTTTTATATTTAAAATCTTAGTCAAATAGTTTGTCAAAAATAGGTGATGGTGAGGGCAAAATTAAGGAGTATATGTAAAAACATTTGGATGAAGAAGGCAAATGTATAATATTTTATAAATGCTAGATCTCATTATTTTAATAATATAAGGTAAATAAATTTTGTACTTCGAAATACCAGCAGAGGGTAAATTTTGAAAATTAATTATTTTTATTTGAAGTCTGACATTAATTTTGCTCTGGAATTTTTAATTAATGCTGCTGCTTTCTCTCGGAAGATGTTTGAGATTGTGAATAACACTGCCAAGATGATATAACTATCTCTACTAAGTTAAGGTAAAATTAACCATGCTCTATGAAAAGTTACTTTTCTGATTATTTAGCACAATGTTTCACACATGCCAGTCATTTTTTTGTCAAATGAACTCCCAACTCATAAAACATTAAAATTCTTTAAAGTTAATTACACATGTTTAATAATAGACAAAAATCATATTAAAAGGTATTCAATTCACTAAGTTCACAGTAAATCACAGAAACTGTTTGTATGACATACCAACAAATAAGATGGGAGATTCAGGACATTTAAAGGAAGTAGATATGCTCTGATTTCCTAAAATGAACATTATGCCAACAAATATTTTGACTGAGTCTTCTTCAATATGTTTCCACAAGGAAAACTATGGAGTAATGAGTTAAACCTTTTGTCAGATTGAAATCCTTATAATATAAAAAAGCAAACTTTCCTTTTACCCTTTTAATTGGTGATAACATGGATGCCAGGAAGTATTGCATGAAAGAGAGAGAGAAAGAGAAAGAGATAATATATATGGACACTTAATGGAGTAAGAAAGGGGTTACTAGAATTTAAAAAGAATTGCACATAAACCAGGGTAGGAAGAAGAGGGTATTTGGTGACTGGACAAGAATGTTGCCTACTTTGATAGGGCCAGGCAGTGTTCTTTCAGAGTAAAGGAGATGCATACTATTTCTCTGGATATGAAGAAGATTGAACCCACAAACTCCATTTGATCACCATCCCCTCTATCTTAAACTTCATACTTCCCCTTTACAAACATAATTTCACACTTCCCCAGACCCACTGAAGTTTTTTTCCTTACTAGGATCAGCTGTCAACTGATGGCTACTATCTTCATTAGCCTCATGGCTATGCTGGAAAACCTCACCTGGGCCCTGCCTGTTTCTTACACGAAACAATTCCTTTCTCTAGTAATTATGTCCAGTTCAATTTTTTGTCCACCACTGGAACTTTATAAGGAGCACTTTATAATATAGTATTTTTAAAAGAGCATATGATATAGCTTGGATGTTTGTTCCCTCCAAATCTCATGTTAAAATGTGATCCCCAGTGTTGAAGGTGGGGCCTGATGGGAAGAAAGCATCTGTGGCATGGTAGCAGATCCCTCATGAATGGCTTGGTGCCATCCCTGCAGTAATGAGTGGGATGAGTTCCCAAGACATCTGGTTCTTTAAAAGCATGTGGTGCTCCCCTGTCCAACTCCTTGCTTGCTCTCTCTTGTCATGTGACACACTTGCTCCCCCTTTGCCTTCTGTGATGAGTAAAACCTTCCTAGGCCTCACCAGGAAGCCAAGCAGATGCTGGTGCCATGCTAGTATAGCCTGCAGAACTGTGAGCCAAATAAACCTCAGCTATTCCTTTACAAAAAGAAATGCAAATGGACTAACATAGCATTCATCCTAGAAATACAGCAACCTTGCCCACTGCACATTCATGCTACCTGGTTTCAGTTGGGCCCTGTTTGGAAGCAACACTGCTTTTGATCATCCTTGACTCTGTATTGAATGCATGTCTTACTTTTTGATAATTCCAAAAATCATCTTTAATTAGAAAGCAAGGAAAAATAATGAAGAGCAAAAACAAAAAGTATAAACAAACTTATTTATTCACTTAACAATATTAAGTACTAGTTCTAGTTGCAATGGTTTTTCAATAACAATAACATCAGAAAAATTCCTGTCTTCCTAAAATAATTTTCTAGCTGGGAAAGGAAATAAAAAACTATATAATATGTGAGGCTATGATAAAAACCTCACATATTAGAGAAAAGGAAAGCAAGATATGAAAGCTAGAAGTAGGAAGTGCTGATTGAGTATTGTAAACCATATGAATGTGCTGGTGTATAAATTAAAAAATAGTCTAATACCTTTAACTTCATATGATGCAAACAATATGTCAAATAGAGTCTTTTAAAAAATGTTTAAGTTCCAAACATTTCAAACTTTAACTTGTCTTTTCCTTTCTATATTTCTCTGTGAATACATGCCCATCTTTTTTCCCAAGGCTAATGTCTAACTCAACCTCCTAATTTCTTTTCTCCCCCATCTTTCTTTGACCTTGTCTTCTTAGCTAAATCTTTATTAATTTTTCCCCTTCCTTCTATTCTCAGTTTCCCTAGCCCATTTAATGTGCTTTTCTAAAAGTTTCATCTTAAAATTTCTCTTACATCCTAAACTTCTACAGCTCAAACTCTGATAGATTTTCTCACCACTCCAACCCATTGTGTGGCCTCTTATCTTCTGGCATTAATATTCTTAGTGGAGGGTAATCTTCATTACTCTTGCTGTCATTTAGCCTTATTTTTCAACTTTTCCTATGTATGTTCCTGGTCAACCTGATTACACTGTAGCTTCCATGATAGCAACACGAGAGTCATTTATTGTTTAATAAATGGGACCTAATTAGTCATTCTTTGAATAGGTACTCAAAAAACATTTAACACAAATACATTTCCAAATGAATTCAAATTTAAAATGTTTTCCTGGTGTTCTAGGAAAATACATTTTAATTTTTATTTATCCTTGTAGTCTGCTGCTTGAGACACCTTTAAATTCTGCAAAAATGAGCAATACTCTAATGTTTGGTTATCAACAGAAAAGGCAAAAATGTGTGTGAAAACAAAAATTTCCAATAAAATTTATTTTTACTGATTTATTCAAAGTGTTTGCTATCTTGAAACATAAAAATACTTTCACAATATCTTCACAATGTAGCCTACTATAAACATTTCAAAGGAGCCCACTGAGACAATAAGAGCACTAATTGCTCTGAATTGTCCAATTCTATACTTATGCTCAAAAAGAGTTTTGTTTCAATCTCATAAGATGAAACAGGCTTACCTCAAGTTGTGCATGCCAACAAAACAGGTAAAACATCTAAGAAGGAAATAAAATGTACACCAGATTTGGGTTTTCTGGAAGAATTTGAGCAATAAACATAATTTTGAAGATTGTAGCACAGAGTATATGCACATGAACGTGATGTAAATAAAATGACTACCACTTCAGTTTCTTTTGATCATAGTTCTCTTCTTGAGACCGTAAAGATGAACAAAGACTTACAAGACTAGTTTAATCTGTAATACTGGATTTCCTACACATTAAGCTTCTGGACCCAGGATAGCCCTTCCTGAAAGCTCTCCACATTACCTTAGTACAAAGCGTGAATCTGCACTTGGTAGTAATCATTTAGCAAAATAAAAATATGTGCAAATTAGTGCCCTCTGCTTGATGGAAATCCTGTACCCTATGGTCTTGTTCTTTAGATATCTCTACTTTATGTGTTTTCAAGACACATAAAGTAAGCTATGAAATTGAGCAAGTATCAATTTTGAGAATAATGATCTAAAACTCTCAATCTCCAATGCTGATTAATGGCAACAAAGACTAGATGGAGCTAAAAAGAGCTGGCTGTGTTTATAGAGCTTTCCATTTTAATAGAGTAATGTAATGGCCAAATTATTTTCACTCTCACTATCAATATTAAATCATAAACTCAGCTAATATATAATTAGACAGTGTATGACCTAATAAACAAAATTGGTGAAATCCAAGAAAATTTAGGGCACCAAGATGAGCTAAGAAGTTTTTTATGTTTTTTGGATTTTTGCTGTAACACCATGACAAATTGGAATAATTACTGCTGAAGGAAAATGAGATAGTAAAGCAGAATGACTCAAGAAGAAAAAGCTAATCTCATATTACTAAACTCAAATGGAATGTAATATGAGAAATATTGATTATAATTGTTCATCATGCCTTTGTAACATTTTAAATAATAAAAATTTTTAGACCATGGCATAGGGCAGTATTGATCAGGCATATTAAATTGACTTTATTTTCAAGAATAACTATTTACTTTTTACATGTATAGCATTACTGAAAACTTACACAGAGATGGTATCTGTGCTTCATATCATTTTCTCATAGACTTAATATGTGATTTCAGATACATGTTTTTCTATTTGAGTAGCAGGGAAGGAAATAGGAGAACAAGATTTCATAAGTAAACATTTTAATATTTATTTCTATAAAATCATACATTTATCAGTTTCCTGTGTATTGAATTTATTTCTTCCTAAATGCAGTATATCAATGACACCAAATCCAAATGCATTTCACACATTCACTGAAACCAAATAATTTGGTTTTCATATGTAGTTTTCAGTGATCCTATAGAACCTGAATGTTAAAGCAGTCACAATATTTCATGTATTCTTGTTTTAATTTTTAATAATAAAATATTGCAAACAAAGGAATAACTGAAAACTATAGGCCCCATTGATGCCCAGGAGATATTAATATTTTTCTATATTTGGCTCAATTTTCTCTATTTTTTCAAAAAGTCTACAACTAAGACAAAAGCCCTTCCTGCTCCTACCTCTTCTTTCCCACTCACACCTTATAAATACTATTCTTTAGTTTGTGTTTCCATTCACCTATGTTGTTTTTGTACTCTTAGTAAACATAAATATATCCACTGCAATATATAATATTATTTTCATGTATAAAATTTTACATAAATGGTATCAAATGTTAAGTATTCTAGTGTCATTTTGCTTTAGTCAACATTGTATGTTTTTGAGAATTATACCTGGTGATGTAGGTAGACATGATTCATTCACTTTTATTTTTCACTTTTGTCTGATATTTTTTCTAGTGAATAAACAATGGTTTGTTATCCATTCCCTTACCTAGGTTGTTTTCAACTCTTAGGCTATTTCCATGTGTTTGCTTTTACAAACAGTGCTGAAATTAGCACACCTTTCTATGTTTTCTTGTGCACATATGCAGGAGTTTATGAAAGACTTCTGGAAATGCAGCTACTAGTTTTATTATGTATGACAAGTTCTTCCAAACTACTCTACCAAATTTCTGTTCAAATATCTCTACCAACTTATGCTACCACAGATAATAGGAGACCTGGTTTCCCAACACTTGGATTTATCAGACATTATTTTTGCCAATCTGATGGATATAAAATGTTACTTTATTGCAGTTTTAGTTTGTATATCCTTAATGGAATATAACATTCTTTCTAATGTTAATTTGCAGCTTATGCTTTCTTCTATCAATTATCTTTTGCTAAACATTTTCAATAACTAGCTTCTCTTTTTCTTGTTTGGAAGAAATTATTTGCATATTCCATACACTAATGAGTTTTGGTTTTCTGAACTGCAAATATCTTCTATATATCCAGATTGATTTTTCATCCTTTTCAGGGTAATTTGCTTAAGAAATATAGGCACAGCAAAATTTTTTAAATATTATCTTTTTTTCTCCTAAACATCTAGTTTTGCTTTTCATTTCATGCCTCTAATGCAATTAGAAAAATGTGTGTTTTATATAAAGTAAGGATATATTTGATCTTAGTTATTTCTGTATGTTTAGCCAATTGACCCAGAATCATTTACTGAACAGATCAAGCCATGTATATGTGGGTAGAACCCACATATACATGGGTAGGACCCACATATACATGGCTCGATCTGTTCAGTAAATGGATTTTTCTATCTATTACTTTTTTTCAGTTAAATTTTTATTTACTATAGTTTCATAATATATTTTGAATGACTAGACCATTATCATTTTTGTTTTTTGAGAAGTCTCAACTGTTTTAGGCACTTTATAGTCTAACATAAGTTTTAAGATGAGTTTATCATGCTTCATAAAAATGATAAAATCTTGGGGTTTTTTTTGAAAGTATAGATAAATAGGAGGAAGAACTCATATATTTGTTATAGTAAGTCTTATGTGTAAGTAATGTATCTCTACATTTAATTAGGTCTTTTATAACTTTCAATAAAGGTTTATGACTTTCTCATTAAAGTCTTGCCTCTGTGAAGTTACTTCTATTTCTAGTACTCTCGTTGCTTCTGTAATTGCTATATTTTGAAATTATATTTTTGTTTGCTGTTTGTATATATGAATTTAATTTTTAAATAACCATTCTCTGTAACTTCTCTTGGACTTTCATATACATAATCATAATCTTTGCAAATGATGACAGTTTTATATTTTTCTAATCCTTGCAAATTTATTTTGCATACCTTCTCCATTTAGCAGGAACTCCACACAATGATGAATAGAAGAAGGCATTGAGGCCTTGTTCTCGATTTAAAGGCATGTTTTTAACATTTTATTACAAAGTATCTTGGTTAAAGTAATATTTGGTAGCTAACTTTTTTTCATATTAAATAGGGTCCCTTACTCCTATTTGTTAAGAGTTTATATTATAAAGGAGTCCTGAGTTTATTGAATGATTTTCCTGCATGTATTGAAATAATCATATGTTTTAAAAATTGTTAATTTCTTAGTGATAAATTACATGTTAATTTATCACGTTTTAACATTGTTATGCTTGCATTCTTAAGAAAAAAATTCATCATTCTTTGTCATGATTTAAATGTGCATGTTTTTCTTTGTTATATTTGGTAATATTTAAGCTATTATTTTTATATCAATTTTTATAAAAGATAATGATCTGAAATTTTTTCACTAACATCCCTGACAGATTTTATCAAAGTATAGTTTACCAAAATATAAAATTGTTGAGGAGCTGTCTTACTTTTTCTTTTACTTTAGAACAGTGTGAATAAAATAGATACTATCAAACCCTTGTTTATTGAAATTATCTTGTAAATATATTTAAAATACATGTTTTTTTCTTGTTTCAGTCATTGTTGGTTTTGCTGTTATTGTCGTTTTTGTCGTTGTGTTTTCCACCAATGCTTAAATTGTTGACTACTGATTTAATTTCATTTATTTTAATAGGATTACTCAGACTTTTATTTATTCTTGAATCTATTCTGTAAAGTGTATTTTTTTCTTAAAAAATATATTTTCAAAATAATTGGCAAAATGTTATTTTATGATTGTGTGGTCTAGTTTTCATTAAAGCCTCTCTCTCTTATTAATCTGCCAGTGATTTGTCTATTGTATTAGTTTATTTAAAAGAATTAACTTTGAGCACTTTTTACTCTACTGTTTCTGTATTTTTTTATTGTGATAAGAGCACTTAGCCTAAGATTTACTCTCATGACAAATTTTTAAGTGGACAATGCAGTATTGTTAAGTACAATTGTACAGCAGTCCTCTAGAAGTTACTCATCTTTTGTAAATAAACCATGTACCCCTTGAACTGATGTCTCCATTTCCTCTTCCCTCCAGCCCCTGATGGGATAGCTATTGGTTATTTTCCATTTAAAAATCTTCTATTCTCATCTTTACGTTTTTCCTTCTTTCTACTTTCTTTGGATGACTTCATTATTCTTTTTCTGCCTGTGTAAACTGGAAGTTGTGCTGATTTTTAGTTTTTCTTCTTTCCTAATATACGCAATTAAGGCTTTTGCCTTTTAATTGTGGTTTTAGCCAAATCCCACACATTTTGATTTACAGCATTTGCATTATCATTCAGATAGAAATATTTTCGAATTTCCATTATCATTTCTTCTTAAAGTGTTTCATGAGCTATTTATGCCTTTTTTTTTAAAAAACAATTTCCAAATACAATGTGTTGCCTATTTGACTCTTAACATGTCAGGGATGGTAACAGAGACCCAGTATCTTCTGACTTTTGCTTTTCTAACCTGTAGCCACTACGTGTGAGTGCATCTTCATCCACCTTGGCGAGGCTGATGTCTGGATTGGCAATGCTGCCGGGAGCTCTACTACCTGGAACAAAGCATCCAGCACGATAGCCCAATGCCAAGTGACAAGACCACTGGGTAAGGAGATAATTGATTCTACGCCTCTTCAGTGAGCAGGCAAGTTTGTGTCCAGGGCAGTGTTTATAAACCTGGAACCCATAGTCACTGATGAAGTTTGCACTGGCACCTACCACCAGCTCTTCCACCCTGAGCAGCTCATCACAGACAAGGAAGACGCTGCCCATAACTATGCCTGGGGGCATCACGACATTGGCAAGATCATTGGCCTTTGGACCAAATTCGCAAGCTGGTTCACCAGTGCACAGGTCTTCAGGGCTTCTCGGTTTTCCACAGCTTTGGTGGAGAAACTGGTTCTGGGTTCACTTCTCTGTTGATTATGCCACAAAGTCTAAACTGAAGTTCTCCATTTACCTAGCCCTGCAGGTTTCCACAGCTGCGGTTGAGCTCTACAACTCCATTCCACCACCAGTACCACCTTGCAGCACTTTGATTGTGCCTTCATAGTAGACAATGAGGCCATCTATGGCATCTGTTGTAGAAACCCCAATACTGAGCACCCAAACTACCCTAATCTTTAACTGCTTTCTTAGCCAGATTGTGTTCTCCATCACTGCTTCTCTCAGATTTCATGGAGTCTGACAGAATTCCAGACCGACCTGGTACCCTCTTCCTGCATCCTCTTCTCTTTGGTCACATATGCCCTGTCATCTCTGCTGGGTAAGACTACCATGCATAGCAGAGGTCACCAGTGCTCACTTTGAGCCAGGCAACCAGATGGTGAAATGTGACTCTCACTATGGTAAATACATGGCTTACTGCCTATTACACCGTGGTAATGTGGTTCCCAAATATGTCAATACTTACTGCTATTCCACTAACAAGACCAAATGCACCATCCAGTTTGTGGATTGGTGTTTCACTAGCCTCAAAGTTGGCATTAATTGCCAGCTTCCCACTGTGGTACCTGCTGGAAATCTGGCCAACATAAAGAGAGCTGCGTGCATGCTGAGCAACACCATAGCCATTGCTGAGGCCTGGGTTTGCCTGGGCCACAAGTCTGACTTGAGTTATGCCAACTGTTCCTTTGTTCACTGGGAAATGGGTGAGGAGATGGGAGAAGAAGCATTTTCTGAGGCCTGTGAGGACATGGCTGCCCTTGAAAAAGATTATGAGGAGGTTGGTGTGGATTCTGTTGAAGAAAAAGAAGGGGAACACTAATTTTCCATTCCTTTCAGCCCTGCAGCATGTCATACTTCCAGAATTTCAGCTTTGACATTAGCTGACAGGCATTAAATCTTTCCAGTTAGATTGTTTTCACTCAGCGGTAATCATGACTTTTCCAAGTGTGCCTACAAGATTTTTCCATCATGTCTCAAATTAAAGGCTTGAAGTAAATAAAATAAAATAAAATTTCCATATACATGGAGATCATATTTGCTATATTTTTTCCTTTTAAATTTTTTTGAATTATCAGCAGAAGCATGATCTGTATGACTCATTTTATGCCAAAATATGTTATTTCTTAATAGTGTCATACATGTTTAAAAAATGAAAATGCTTTAATTCTTGAGTACAGATTTCTAATCTATCAACCTTACAATTTCTCTTTTTATTGTGGTAAAAATACATATAACATAAAATTACCATCTTAACCATTTTTAAGCATAAGGTCCAGTGGCATTAAAAACGTTCATAATGTCCTGTATACCTGTTCTTTACAGTCCTTATATGTACTAAATGTATATGCAGACTGGTGAATTGCTCCTTTTATTATTTTTCTGTAACCTTTTTTCCCAATAATGCTTTGGCTTCAAAATATATTTCTTAAACATTATTATAAGAAGTAACATCATCTTTCTTTGCTTATATTTACCTCAAATATAATTTTCCATTTCTTCACATTCATAATTTTGTGTCTTTATGTTTTAGGTAGGTCTGTTGTAAACTATATATAGATGGACTACTTTTTTAAAATCCACTTTGAGAAGTCTTGCCATTTAACTTGCAAATTTAGTCAATTTACTTTAGGTGTATTTCTACCATTCTTTTTAACTTTTTGAGATAATTGTATATTCACGTGAAACTAATTTTCACTTAGTTTCCCCCAGTGATAGCATAACTAAAGTAAATATTACAACCAGAAATTGACAATGATATAAACTGTTGACCTTAATTCCATTTACACTAGTTTTACATGCATTCATGTAGTGTGTGTATGTGTGTGTGCATGTATTTAGGTCCATGAAGCTTTATCACATGTAAATTTGTGTAACTATAACAATAGTCAATACAAAACAGTTCCATCACAAGGACTCCTTTCATTGTTCACACCCTTTCCTTGTCTACTTCCCTCCCTAATCCCTAAAAAACATTCACCTCTTGTTTGTCTCTATCATTTTGCCATTTTTTGAATGTTAAATAAGTGGAATCACGGAGGATATATGATTTTTGAGACTGGCCTTTTTCAGTCAGTATAAATCCTTTGAGAACATCTGATATGGCCTGGCTGTGTCCTCACCCAAATCTCATTTTGAAGTTCCCATAATCCCCACGTGTCATGGGACAGACCAGGTGGAGATAATTGAATCATGGACAGTTTCCCTCATCTGTTCTCATGATACTGATTGAGTTCTCACAAGATCTAATGGTTTTATAAGCCCCTTTTGCTCGGCACTTGTTGCTGCCACCATGTGAAGAAGGATATGTTTGCTTTCTCTTCCACCATGATTGTAAGTTTCCTGAGGCCTCCCCAGCCCTGAGGAACTGTGAGTCAATTAAACCTCTTTCCTTCAAAAATTACCCAGTCTCGGGTATTTCTTCATAGCAATGTAAGAATGGACTAATACACCATCCAAGTCATTGTATGAATTAATAGTTGTTTCTTTTTAATCTATGGTATGGAGATAAGAGACTCTCATTCAAAAACGGGAAAAACAGGAAGCACATAGCAGTCACTACTCCACAGCAATTCTTTCTCCAGTTCCTTCCTTCCACTCTCCCTTATTTTACCTTATTTATTTATTTACCTTTTCAGACAAGGTCTGGCTCTATCGCCCAGGCTGAAGTGCAGTGGTGTGATCTTGGCACACTGTAACCTCTGCCTCCCGGGGTCAAGCCATCCTCCCACCTCAGCCCCCTGAGTAGCTGGGACTACAGGCATGCACCACCATGCCCGGCTACCCTCCACTCTCTCGAAGCCAATTCTGATTTGGCTTTCTCTATAGTCCATCTACCAAATCTTCTCCTGTCAAGGTCATCCGTGACCTCCATGTTGCTAAAAACAATGTTCATTTCTCAGGCTTTATCTTACTTGACCTATAAGCAGCATTTGACATAGTTTATCAAATGACCATTATTCTACTTCCTTCTTGAAACACTTCCTCATTTGGCCCCTGTGACATGACACTCTCTTATCTATCTGTTTACTTCACTAACTACTCCTTTCTCAGTCTCTGCATTTACTTCCTATCCCTCTCTTGGCAAATTACAACAAACTTAGTGGTTTAAAGCAACACAAATTTATCTTACAGTTCTGGAGGTCAAAACTGCAAAAGGAGTTTCACTGAGCTAATATCACGGTGGCAAACCTTCTGGAGGTGCTAGGGGGGAATTTGTTTCCTTGTCTTTTGCAGCTTCTAGAGGCTACTTGAATTCCTTGGCTTGTGCCTCCCTTCTAGCAATCATATTACCTCACTGACCTCTGCTTCTGTCATCACATCTCTGTCTTTGGTTCTGATCCTCCTGCCTCCCTCTTATGAGCAGTATTCTGATTACATTGGGTCCACCTGGATACTCCAGGACAATCTCTCCAAAATATATTAACAGGTTTTGAAAGGCTGGGATGTGAGCATCTTTGGAAGGCCATTTTGCTGCCTACCACATTCTCTCTTGCTGGTTCTCCCACATCTTTCTAACCTAAACATTGGCATCCTTCAAGGACTCAATCTTCTGATTGTTTCTTCCCATTTCTATGCTTATTCCTCGTGTTAACTGTTACAGTGATTTATATGACTCATATCTGATATTATGGCTTTTAAGTTCCAAGTATATGCTGATGATGTTTAAAGGTATATATTCATCCTGGACTTTTCTACTGAGCTCCAACTGCATGTGTGACAATCTTACTTCGTATATCCAATGGACATCTCAAATTTAATATACTCCAAGTGGAACTTCTCATTTGTCTTGTATCCGAAAAGCTTATTCTCTAAAAGAATTTCTCATTTCAATAAACTTAAAGTTCCATATTTACTTAGAACAACACCCATAGACTCTCCTTTTTTACAATCTACATCCATTTTACCAGAAAATCCTGATAGTTCCATCTTCAAGACATATTCAAAAACAAATTATATTTCCTCACATTCCCCAGGCAGACTCATCCAAGCCACCATGATCTCTCGCCTGGATTATGGCAATATCCTCCTTATCCATCTCTCTATTTGCATTCTTTCTCCCTACTGTTTATTCTTAACCTATCAATCTAAGTGAAAGCATAAGTTAAATCATTTCACCTCTAGTGACCTCCTCTCACTCTGAGAGAGAGAAAACCAAGAAAATTGACTGGGCCTGCAAGGCCCTACATCATCTGCTCCCCGTCTCCCATAATTTCATTTGGTACCTCTATGACTCATCTTCTATTATTTTTCTCTGGCTTTCTCTGTTTCAGCCCTACCCACCTCCTTTTCATTCCTGGAACATTATTGGCATTCTCTCCCTGTAGGGATTTAGCACTGTCTCTTTTCTTCTCCTACCATGCTTTTCCCCAGATATCCTCTTTGTGTGCTTCTGTCCCTCCTCTTGGTCTTTGTTCAAATTTGACATTCTCAGTGAGGCTTCTCTGAAAAATTTGTGATCCCTACTTCTGACCTAGCACTTCCTATCTTTCTCCTCCACTTTATTTGTCTCCATATCACTCATTCCCATGCGATATGCTCAGAAGCCCTTCACTTCCATGGTCCCTTTCTAAGGTCCTGTATTCTTTTTCTTAAAGACAGCCCACAACTGATTCAGGATTCAGGTGCTACAAAAGTTGGATGTATTTTAATTGTTAATTGTCTGTCTCCTTCTGTAAGAGTGCAAGCTCCATGAGGGCAAGAGTATTCGGTGTTTTGGATCACTGTTGTATCATATCACATAGAGGAGTATCTGGCACATAGTATGTAATAAATATTTGTTGAATCAACTAATACAATCAGCAGAATTCACAAAGAAAAACACCAATAGATATAACCCTCTAAAAAACTAACTTCTGTATTTTACAAAAAATACCATAAACAGAATGGTAATCAGCAGTCTAGGAAAATATTTGCCACAACTTTGATAGACAAAAGTTGAATGCCTTTAACATACAAAACAGCAAGAACAAACCAAAACTATAAAAACCATGCAAATGAACAAGACAAAATTTAAGTATTCAGTGGGAAAATATGTAAGCAGTTATTCATCAGCTTTAGTGAAATGATGCCTTTGTGTCATTGGGATAAAGATTCATGTAGTTTAGATGGACGAAGTCAACAAATGATAATTAAATTATTTGGCTCAGTGCTTGTTCTTTGTTAATATTCTTACATTGGCACCATTCCAGTGTGTCTGGAAGAGACCTATGAGACACTGTGGGTTTCTCTCATAAAACAGAAGCAGTCACATGGCTTTGGACATTGCCTTTTTCAAAGACTACACAAGTACATTTTCTTTTTCTTAAGACAATAGTAACTTTCAGAGTATTTCTTAATATTGAATAAAAAAATAAATGATTATGAATCATAAACCACAAAACCAGAGGACTGCTTTTGTGCCACTGTAATTACCAACAACATTCATATGCTTACTCTAACACAGGGCCTAATTTCAGTAGATTTAGTGGTAGGCTTGTTTATTTATAGGCAACTTTCTTTAAACAATTACCTAGAATGATTAAACACTTTTAAATGGGTTGTGTCTGCTGCTATGGCAGAACTTTTTTCTTTTCACTTCATCTTGTAAACAACATTTACTTAATTCTTTTCTGATTATAGAAATAACTTCTGTTCATTTTAAAACTAGCTTAGATTGACAATAGACAGAGAAACATAAGAAAAATAGAGAAAGTTTTCCCTATTCTCACAGCAGAAACAGTTATCAGCACAGAAAGGTTTCTATTTTTGTGTATTTAGTTTACAGTAAATTTTAAAGTCCATTTTAGCAAAACTGAGATCTTACACTCTATATTATTTCACTTCTTGCTTTTGTAATTCAATTTCATATGGTGAACATTGTTTCATATCATTGTGTGTTGTTCAAAAATTTGCAAATTCAGTTTTAATTTTATAAATGCATTATATTTGGTTTACATGATAAAACTGACCATGTACTCATACTTTTATACAGACTTAAATGGTATCAAGTAAGATTTAACACAGTAGTCCATGAGTAACCTTCAGAATCAAAGGTTTCATTCCAATGAATGCAGGACCATTTTCATAATTGCTTTCTTTGCTGCAACACAAGGAGTTATGCCACCTAAAATGCATTTACTCCTGGCTCTCCTATGTGACCGTGGTTCAGGCTTGGATGACAGTTTATCAGAGGTTGTGAACTAGTCAGCCTCCCAAATCCAGCTACCATGGCTCCACCAATTGGCATCCTTTACATGGTGGAGTCATACTCTTCTGCCCTGGCCTTGCAGGGCCCATGTCAACATACAAGACTATATGTGGCTTTTGTAGCACCTGGAAGATATTAAAAAGCCAGCAGTCTTTCTGACGTCTTCTGGATCTTAGTCTTTTCCTTTTTTTTAACATGTAGCTACTCTTATGGGAAGGCCAAATTGACATATTAAGAAACCAAGACTAAATAATAAGTAATACCATGCCAGTGATTTTTATAAAATTCTGTAATTCCTACTACCTGGGAGAGCAAAGCAATTATAGTAGATGATGTCCTTAAAACTCCCTCCTTGTTCCCAAGTAGAATACTCTTCTTACCAGAGTTCTGCTCCCTGACTGGTCTGAAACATTTTTAAAATAGACTTTTATTTGTAAATATAAACAGTTGGTCTGAGGAAAACACCACATTGTAACCTTTCAATGGTACAAACAGAGACAAAATTTGAGAATAGGAGTATATTTTCAGAGTTAAGAAGGACTCCTAGGGTAAAGTGGAAAAACTGATAAGAGTATTTTTTTAAGCTGTAAAACCTAGTGATTAGATTGTAAGATTTTAATCTCTTACTTGTTAAAGTCTCATTTTAGTACCTTTGCATATATGATTCCATTCCTTTGTATACAGATCAGGTCCTAGGACCATTAGCTAATGATAGTTTTCATTTTGAATGACGTGTATGCATTTCATTTAGTGGTTCTTGTCATGACTTCACCTTTCAGTTTTGTGGCAGTGGTATAGATCAATTACCAAAAAAAAAAAAAAAAATCTTTTTATCCTGTGTTTCTAACGCAGATGCTCACCATTTCATCAAATCTAATTTAAAAGGACACTGTAACTTTTTATTTTATTTTTTTTTTATTTTTATTTTTGTGACAGAGTCTCCCTCTGTCACCCAGGCTGGAGTGCAATGGCATGATCTTGGCTCACCGCAACCTCCACCTCCCAGCTTCAAGCAATTCTCCTGCCTCAGCCTCCTGAATAGCTGGGATTACAGATGCACGCCACTACTTCCAGCTAGTTTTTGTATTTTTTAGTAGAGACGGGGTTTCACCATGTTGGTCAGGCTGGTCTTGAACTCCTGACCTCGTGATCTGCCCGCCTCAGACTCCCAAAGTGCTGGGATTATAAGTGTGAGCCACTGAGCCCGGCCATCATTTTTAAATAAAACAAAGAAATAAGGTTGTTTAAAATTTCTCATAAAGCTTATTCCGAAAGATAAATCACTTTAAAGTTTTCTGGCATTTTTTCTTCCATTCTCCCTTACAAATTCATTACTTTTAGAATAGTCATAGGATGTACAGAGATTTTCCACATATATAATAAAGTTTATACTTTTATACATTCTGAATCAATTGTGGGTAACGCTTAGATGCTAAACTATGAGAGATTGGGATTCTAAAAAATGTCTATACTGAGACTCTGAATACAATACTAAGCACTTACATATAAGTTATGTTAGCCAAATATAATAAAATTGCCCAGAAAAATGACCTTTTTCTACAAACATTTGTCTTAATGTACTTGTCTTTAAAGACAAATCTTGCTTACCCAATTTTTCAACAAGTCTATCCATTGATATTTTGAATACTAGGGATCTGAAAGAATTAGGATCTATTTTACATGGACTCAATAGAACAACGGCAGTTATATAACTGAAACCTACATCAGTCATTCCTAAAAACAACAAAAAAGGAATTTATTGTCTGGAAATCAATGGATGAAATTAGTCAATGCTAAATAGGAAATATGGATATGGATATGGATGTAGTTGTATGCCGCTTAAGGACAAACATACAGCTTCTCCATGGTGGAGAGTTGTATGAGTGCACTGGGGTACAAGGCAAGGGTGTTTTGCTCAGGGAGCTGCAGGACAGACCCAGTAGTAAGTGTCCACTTACCTTTGCTTATACCCCAGTGCACTCTCCACCATCTCCACTCCACAGTCTACCCAAGGAAGCTGACCTGTATAGATAGTATCGATACAATCCTGTGCCCTTGGGGAGTTTTGGCCAATGGAGAGGTCAGATAGGATACGGGAAGCAAAGTATAGGGTCAGGATGTATATTTCCCAGATCCCTCCCTTGGGCTGCCTGTGTCCTTAAACAGAAGGTCACTACTCCTCTCAAGACAGCCTGATCTTTCCAACTCTCCCCTTTTGGGCTCTGGTAAATTCTCCCTCACCTCATCCTTAACTGTCTATAGATGCTGCTAGCCCTAGGTTTGTGTATAATACCTCATGGTCTTCCTATAATTTACCTACATTTTTATAATTAGTCATTTTCTATAGAATCATTCTTAAATTATCCTAATTTGTGTGGGCCATGTGATTTCTGCTTAGGCCCTGACTGTTATGTCTCCTTTTGAGAAAGTATTGCTCTCCTGAGAAATATCTCCAACCCATCTGAGTGCAAACACTCACCCACTGCCACAGTTAATTGGGTGCAGAACAAACACCAGAGAGCAAAGAAGAGTCTCTCCCTAGAAATTTGGAAATGAAACCAAGAAATTACAATTCAGCCTGGGTGTTCTTTGAACAAAAGAAATGACAGCCCCAAGCTTTTGGATGGCCAAAAAACAAACACTCAGTCCTTAGGGAATAAGAAGAAAGCCAATGTGTAGAGGAGAGAAACAGGATCTTGACAGTTTTCAAATTCCTGATTCAGTTGTTCCTGAGACCAAGCTTCGGTCTTGCCACTGGCTTCTGAGAGACATGCCAGTGCACTCTTACAATTCCCTCTCTTTGACTTCATCTATTTTGAGATGAGCTGCTGCTTCTTGGAACAAAACAGTCCACATACAGTCAGCATATGAAATTCTCACTTATGATGCCACAAAAGCCCTGAAGAGAAGATAAAAGTGTTTTCATGTTTTTCTTTTAACAAGACAGAAACTGAGCCTCAAAGAGGCTAACTGACATATTTGAATCACACAGCTAGTAAGTGACGGAGGTGAGATTTGAACCCCAAATTAAAAAACCCAAGCTTTTTTTTCAAACCCAGGCTACACTGGTGTATTAAACAGGGTTCCCTAGAGGGACAGAAATAATAGGATAAATATAGATAGATATAGGTCTCACAATAGGCTGTCTGCAAGCTTGAGGAGCAAGAAGAGCCAGTCTGAGTCTCAAAACTGAAGAACTTGGAGACCGTTGGATGTTCCAGGGCAGAAACCATCCAGCACACGAGAAAGATGTAGGCTGGGAGGCTAGGCCAGCCTCACCTTTTCAATTTTTCCTGCCTGCTTTATATTTTCTGGCAGCTGATTAGATGGTGCCGAGCAGATTAAGGGTAGGTCTGCCTTTCCTAGCCCACTGACTCAAATGTTAATCTCCTTTGGCAACACCCTCACAGACACATCAAGGATCAATACTTTGCATCTTTCAATCCAATCAAGTTGACACTCAGTATTAACCATCACAATTGGATGAATTCTTTATAGCAAAATTTTATTGGTTTTGGAGAGGCAAAAGCATTTCTACCATGCTTATGCAGAACCTGAGTTAATGTTCTAATATGCAAACGTATCACACCACCCTTCTTTCCTTCATAAGAAGCTTTCAAGGGCTACTACTATTGCTCCAGCATCAGTCAGACGGCCCAGCATGATCCAGCACCTGCTTGCCCCTCCAGTTTCATCTCATGCTACTACCCCAGTGAACTTTATACTCCAACCCACCTGAAGTGTTTCAGTTCTTTCAAAGCACATGGTCTCTTTCAGTGTCATGCATACATTCTCATGCATACATCTTCCCCCACCGCCTACTCCCGATTTTATCTGAGTCATTTCCTAAAGAAATTAGTTGCCTCTTCTATCTCTCATCAAGCCTGGGTCAGGTACCATTCCTGTGTGGTCCCACAGTACCCTGAGCTTCCCATGTCAGATTCCTAATTCACTGAAATGTATTCCAAACTCTTTGTGGGCAGGGCCACATCTCCCTATCGGATCCCCTATACTGAATCCAGTGCTGGGCATGGAACAGGTATTCAATAAGTACTTGATGAATTAATGAATGAATTTACTATATGACTGAATGTATTACTCTTCAGTTTAGGAAAAAAAAAAAATATATATATATATATATACATATATGCCATGTACAGTGGCTCACGCTTGTAATACCAGCACTTTGGGAGGCTGAAGTGGGCAAATGGCTTGAGCTCAGGAGTTTGAGACCAGCCTGGGCAACATGGCGAAACTTCATCTCTACAAAAATTAGCTGGGCCTGTTGGTGAGTGCCTGCAGTCCCAACTACTCAGGGAGGTGAGAGGATGGTTTGAGATGATTAGACAGAGTTTGCAGTGATCATGACATTGCACTCCAGCCTGGACTCTCTCTCCTCTCTCTCTCCTTTCTCTCTCTCTCTCTCTCTAAATATATATTTATATATTTGTGTGTGTGTGTGTAAATATTTTTCAAACTCTAGAATTCAGACTATCTCTAGTGCTAACACTATATAATCAATACACTATATATGGCTTATTTTTATCTCTATTTCCCTGCTCCACTCTTTTTATTCAAGCTATCTAGAATTTTAATTGAGATTATTATTACATTTTTTACATTATATCTCTACATCTTTAGAAAAACTTTTTTAACAAGAGAATTACCTTCACACTAAAAATGAGTTAATCTAGTTATTGAACTACAGGCTTTAGATATTTTGTTTCCTATGTCTTTCTCTTTCCTCCCTTCTCTGATGATTGTCTGTTGATTGTTTGAAATGATTAAATGAGTGATTTGGGCTTGGAAAACAAAATTTTTCAAAGCTCATTGCTTGTTGAAAGCTCTCTCTTGTACTCTTACTTTGAATATTACATGGTATAGAATTCTAGGTTCAAAAGCATTTCCAGCTGGGTGTGGTGGCTCATGCCTGTAATCTCAGCATTTTGGGAAGCACAGGCAGGAGGATCACTTGAGCCCAGGAGTTCTAGATAAGTCTGGGCAACATAGTGAGACTCCTTTCTCTCCCCCTACCCCACCCCCCCTAAAAAAATAGCTGAGTGTGGTGAGTGCCTGTAGTCCCAGCCACTAGGTGGGGGATGAGGTGGGAGGATCACTTGAGCCCAGGAGGTAGAGACTACAGTGAGTTGTGATATTGCCACTGCACCCCAGCCTAGGTGACAGAGTGACACCCTGTCTCAACAACAACAAAGCATTTTCATTTAGGACTTTGAAGACTTTGCCCTACTTTGTTTCCTAGTATTCTAATCTGTATATAAGGCTGACACTGGTTTGATTCTGAATTTTGTAAATAATCTTTCACTCTGTCCTAGAAACTCTTAAGATATTTTTTCTTTCTCCTTCAAGTTCACAACTTTTACCAAGATATAACCAGGTCTGGAGCATTTTTCTTGGCACATTGTATGACCTTCACATCTGAATGTGTGTGTGTGTTCAGTTCAAGAAAATGTTTATTATTTGCTTTTTCCATTTTTATTCTTAATTATACTTTAGCATTTTTGTTCTTTTTACATCAATATCCTGGGAAATTTCCTTAACTTTTTCTTTCTGATCATTAATACTACGCAGTTCTTTTTATTTCTTAGTTTAGCCTTTCTCACATTTTATTTCAGTAATTATGTGTGTAGCTTTCTGTATTCTTCTTGCTGTCTGATTACCTAATTTTCATGGCACTGATTCTTGGGATTATGAACACAGTGTCTTCCTGAATTTCTCTAAATTTACTAATTTTTAAAAATTCTCTTTTACTTTTCGTGTTTTCTTTGCTTCTGTTGTGGTTGCTTTATTAGTCTTTTTCTTTCAGACTGTTAGCTTTTTCCAGATATTTTACGATACAGGCTACCAAAATCTGTATTAGTCAGGGCTCTCTAGAGGGACAGAACTACTAGGAGATATATATATATATACACACATATGAATATATACATATACATATGAATATATACATATACATATGAATATATACATATTCATATATATATATACATACATATTCATATATATATATATGAAAGGGAGTTTATTAAGGAGAATTGACTCACATGATCACAAGGTGACGTCCCATGATAGGCTGTCTGAAAGCTGAGAAGCAAGGAAGCCAGCAGTGGTTCAGTCCGAGTCCCAACACCTCAAAAGTAGGGAAGCAGGCAATGGACAATGCAGCCTTCAATCTGTGGCCAAAAGCCCAAGGGCCCCTAGTAAACCACTAGTGTAAGTCCAAGAGCCTAAAAGCCGAAGAACTTGGAGTCTGGTGTTTGAGGGCAGGAAACATCCAGCACAGGAGAAAGATAAAGGCCAGAAGACTCAGCAAGTCTGCTCACTCCACCTTCTTCTGCCTGCTGTTTCTAGCTGCACTGGCAGCCAAGGGGATGGTGTCCACCCAGATTAAGGTTGCATCTGCCTCTGACTCACTGAGTCCACTGACTCAAATGTTAAGCTCCTTTGGCAACACCCTCACAGACACACCCAGGAACAGTACTTTGCATCCTTCAACCCAATAAAGTTAACACTCAATATTAACCATCACAATAGGCTAATTAGTTTAGCAAATCAGTATGAGTTTCCCTAGCATTTGTCTTCATCTTTTTTGCAAAAGGCCCATCCTTAGCAAAAAAAAAACAAAAACAAAAACAAAAAACAACAACAACAAAAAACACCAACTGTGGGCTCTGAGCTCTGCGAGTAAATCGGCACAATCGTGTAGAATCATTTCAGTTTTAGTGGTGGGAGCAAGCCAGTGAGCCAGGGTCCCTTTTGATTGCCAAAGTAAGAAAGTCTTTATTGAAAGTTATAGGACTATTTTTGCTATTTATTTTCTCCTTCATTCCTTCTTCCCTCCCTTACTCTCTTCCTTCCTTCTATACTTCTTCGTGGGTTTTGCTTATTTTTTCTTGTTTTATTTCCTTCAACTTGGTGGTGGTGTAGCTTGATCATATGCCGGTCATTTTCTGCAGATGTATCTCATCTTGTCAGCTCTTCTGCACAGGTGTTACTCAGTATGAAAGCAACCCCTCCACTCTTCCTCTATTGGCAACCAGAAGTCAGCTCCCTGGCCTGGAACCCTGAGATGAGCCATAGTCTCTTTCTAACCCACAGTTCATGGTCCACTCCTCTGCTTCTGTAACATTGTCACCTTCTTCTGGTAACCTATATTCTATAGTTGCTCTCTCAGCTAATTCTAACACCCACTGGGGGCTCATTAGGAGCGAAGGGAAATTTGAAGTCTCCTATCCACTCCCGCTCAGATGTAGAGCTGCTTTGTTGCACTACTCTGGGGGGTTACCATTCTCATTATTTTTTACTGTAAATCACGCATTTCGATGCTATGACACCAGCTCTACTGCTAGTGCCCCTTCCATTCTTGTGGTATGAGTAACTACAGCAAGACCCCACTTTAAATTTTAGATAAAAGTGGCACACAAGCCTACCCCTACCCCTTAATGTTTAATCTTCCTGCTATTAGCATGATGTTTATGCTGAGTCCAGAAAGACACATCTTTAGAGATAGACAGAATCAAAGTGGATATTACATTAAAATTAAAGTTGACATCACTTACGAACCTATAGAAATTGTAGCTCCACCAGGGAAGAAAGTACATAAAAAGAATCAGACTAGGATCAGGCAAGAAACAACTTATCTAAATCTAATCAAGCAGTGATGCAGCTCGGGTGAGAGCTGCAGACTTAGATTTGGTTAATAAGTTATATATGATTTGGGTCTAGCAGATGTGAGCTATGCAATAACTATGTTTGGGAATCATAGAGTATTTTACATGAGGTCCCTAAATATTATCACAAGAAAGATCACCTGAGATGTCTAATGCCCCAAATTTCCTGCCTGGCCAAAAATCTCACATTAATATGCAACTTCAGCCAGTTGAGCATTTAACCCCAAAGCTATTTGAGAAGGCAACCTCAAATTGTAGGATCATTTATTTTTATGTCACTAATGCCTTACCCTTGAAGTGCTTTAGAATTAAACATGCAATAGTTATTAGACTTAAGCATCATCAGAATCATCTGTAACTCTTATTAAAACACAAATTGCTGGGCCCCATCCTGAGTTTCTGTTTCTGGAGGGCTGGGGTAGGGCCTGAGAATTTGTATTTCTAACAATTTCCCAGGTGATGTTGATACTGCAAGTTATGAGACCAGGTTTTGAGAAATAAAAACTAGAAATGGAAATGAAAATAACACTGATAATAGAAATATTTTATGTTAGCTTTTGGAATAATCTTTATATATTTATTGTTTTAATTGTTCTTAATATTTAAGATAATTTAGAATATTAGAACACTTAAAAGATCAGACTTATGTTTCAATTTATATATCTGAATTATTGATTTAGACTTACAGTTTTAAGCTGAAAATGATAATGTTCAACCACATGTGAAAACAGTTTAGAATGTTTAAGAGATTTAAACATTATTATAATTAATTACTAAGTTCAATTCATTAGATTTACCAGATATATTTTGGTACTTTGAGAAAATTCACTTGTTGGACGAACTACTTAAAGAGAAAATTAAATATACTAAATTTGTAAATGCTGTTTAAAATGCTTAAGAGAATTTATGGCCCAGCATGGTGGCTCATTCCTGTAATCCCAGGGCTTTGGGAGGCTGAGGCAGGCAGAACACTTGAGGCCAGGAGTTCAAGACCAGTCTGGCCAACATGGCAAAACCCCCTTTCTATCAAAAGTACAAAAATTAGCCTGATGTGCTGGTGCATTCCTATAATCCCAGCTACTCAGGTGACTGAGGCACGAGAATCGCTTGAACCCAGGAGGCCAAGGTTGCAGTGAGCCAGGATCGGACCACTGCACTCCAGCTTGGGCAACAGAGTGAGACTCAGTGCCCCCCACAAAAGAAAAAAAAATAGAGAATTTAAACAAATTGTAAAATCTCTCTTAAGAGTGATGTTAAAATTTGAGCTATTAATAAACATATAAATAAATAAAATAAGATTTTAAATTTGAACTTCAAAGTTTAAGGAAGAACTAGGACTTAATCTGAAATATCAATGAAATAAGTAATAATTTTAAAAGATAAAGAAGCCTCCAAGTTATATTTTCTGTACACAAAAGCCACCCTCAAAAATGTCAAAGTTCCACTGAAATTCCCCAAATCACAGGGAAAATTTTTTTGTGTTCCTCTGTATTCCAGTGCTATTGGTGGGGTTAGGAAAGAAGTTATTCAAGGACGCCTGGTTCATATGCTTCTTGTAACAGTTTGTCTTTAGCAACTTTCTCTTTTCTCTAGTTCAGGGATCAGGGAGGGAAGTACTACTTTTGCTTGTTTAGCTCACCTGCCAATCCTACTTTCCTCACACCTGAAACCCTACGAAGCGCTCTCTAACTCTGGTGAGTGAATCTTTGCTTGCCAGTCTGCATCTAACATTCTATTAGCTCCTGGGGTAAGTTTTAAGGACTGAGTTGGGGGAAAGTTCTAGGCAGGGCAGTTCATATATGCCACCTTGTCCTGTAAGCATAATTAGCATGTCCTGGGTTTTATCAGCTTATAATAGCAATAAGATATTTATATTAGTCCTTCAAAATCTTATGTTTCTCTCATCCTGTTTGACTAGCAGAAATTCTAATATGTTCTTACAGTTTCAATTTGTTACTGTTCCTAAGACTCCAACCTATAAATCATTTCTGGTCACCCTTAGTACTCATTGATAGAGTAGGAATTTAAACTCCCTGAGGTTGGGCTCCAAAACAATTGTCTCAATGATAATTGCGTGGAAAATAGTTCAGCTTTAGCTAACAACTGAGGATACCTGTGGAGCCTTTCTTCTGCTATGCTCAGAGTGTCCTTCACTAAGCTGCACAGGCCCCAAAGTGTTATAGGTTACCTATGGATGCAAAGGCATGAAGATACACAGGCACACACACTTGTGCATGCCTGTGCATGCATTTCCCCTAAGGTGCATTCTTGCAGTCAGGCTGACTAAATTAAGTCCTGGTGCCAGTTTTACATGGAATAGGGAACCACAATTCCTTTCCAAACCTTAGGCTTTGCCTCCAAATCTTCACATAGGTTCAGACTCCTTATTTAGAAACTCTATTGTCTTTCTTGCAATATGTTAACAGCTGCCACTCTCATCCAGCAAATGTATATTTATATATAAAACTTATGGGGAGGAAGGTTGAGTTTCTAGTCCCTTTTTACTTCTGGAGAAACTTACCAGTCTTATGTGTAACCTACTGGATACAAAACAGCATTTAAAAGGAAGGACACCACAAGCTCTGGCTAGCAGTAGTATGTAAGCACCCAAATTCAATTGGATATCTGCAGGAAATGTGACACCTGTCCCACCCAGAGCCAACAGAGGCTTTGCCCGGAAGCCTATCCCACAGCTAAAATGAGCATCACATATATGTGTGAATATTTTAATAAAATATTTCATTTCATTTTTCCATGGGAAAATTAATTCTCAACTTTACAACTATAGACTAGAATGTTGAATACCCTAGCATTTAGCCAGTCTCGTTTACTGAATTTACTTTCAAATATGCATACTTCTATACATTTATTAACCAATAATTTATTTTTTCCTAGTGATTAATACCAAAGACATAAGAGTTGAAGATATTGATCCTGAAGTGGTATCCGTCACATAATTGCAAAAAATTGATTGTTCCTTCCTGGATTCCAAATTTATTATCAGAGAGAAATGATGTAGACTAATACCTTAATTTTACTTAATAATAGCAGAAAATTGGGAAATACTTTTCCTAGATTTTTTTTCTAAAGTAAAAAAAAAATCTTTTGAAAAAAATCACAATTAGGTGAAATTAGAAAGCTTCTAACAGCAAAGAACAGGAAATACAACTTGCTTAACAAATAAGAAAACCACTTGTCACATAATAAAAGTCCAGGGCCAGTGCAGGCATTGGATTTAGTTGATTGATGGCTCATTTTGTTATTAAGATTTCTGATTCATTTTCTGTTTCTGCTCTCACAAACACACACTTTCTTCATCCTAAGGCTAATTCTCCTCACTTTCATAAAATGGCTGACACCAATAACTGGGGCTGTACGTGTCTTTGTTCAGGAAAAACAGTAGGAAGAAAATCCTCTCTCAAAAACCCTGAACTATAAGACCTTGCCATCTATCACCTCGGACTAATTTAAGTCACTAACCCACTCCTGGACTGATACAAGCCACTATGGTTTGCCACACACCAATGAGCCTACATCAGTATTTATTACAACTTCCCTAATGAAAGGGGAGATTTGCAGTGTTTGGTAGAAACACAGATTTCTGAGACCCAAACTTGGACCTAATTTGTGGATTAGAATTTCAAAATAAAAATCTGTTCACCTGGAGGAGCCAAGATGGCCGAATAGGAACAGCTCCGGTCTACAGCTACCAGTGTGAGCGACGCAGAAGACGGGTGATTTCTGCATTTCCATCTGAGGTACCGGGTTCATCTCACTAGGGAGTGCCAGACAGTGGGCGCAGGTCAGTGGGTGAGCACACCGTGCACGAGCCGAAGCAGGGCAAGGCATTGCCTCACTTGGGAAGCGCAAGGGGTCAGGGAGTTCCCTTTCCGAGTCAAAAAAAGGGGTGACGGACAGCACCTGGAAAATCAGGTCACTCCCACCCGAATACTGTGCTTTTCCGACCGGCTTGAAAAACGGCGCATCACAAGATTATATCCTGCACCTGGCTCGGAGGGTCCTACGCCCAGGGAGTCTCGCTGATTGCTAGCACAGCAGTCTGAGATCAAACTGCAAGGTGGCAGGGAGGCTGGGGGAGGGGCGCCCGCCTTTGCCCAGGCTTGATTAGGTAAACAAAGCAGCCAGGAAGCTCGAACTGGGTGGAGCCCACCACAGCTCAAGGAGGCCTGCCTGCCTCTGTAGGCTCCACCTCTGGGGGCAGGGCACAGACAAACAAAAAGACAGCAGTAACTTCTGCAGACTTAAATGTCCCTGTCTGACAGCTTTGAAGAGAGCAGTGGTTCTCCCAGCACGCAGCTGGAGATCTGAGAACGGGCAGACTGCCTCCTCAAGTGGGTCCCTGACCCCTGACCCCCGAGCAGCCTAACCGGGAGGCACCCCCCAGCAGGGGCATACCGACACCTCACACGGCAGGGTACTCCAACAGACCTGCAGCTGAGGGTCCTCTCTGTTAGAAGGAAAACTAACAAACATAAAGGACATCCACACCAAAAACCCATCTGTACATCACCATCATCAAAGACCAAAAGTAGATAAAACCACAAAGATGGGGAAAAAACAGAACAGAAAAACTGGAAACTCTAAAAAGCAGAGTGCCTCTCCTCCTCCAAAGGAACGCAGTTCCTCACCAGCAACGGAACAAAGCTGGATGGAGAATGACTTTGACGAGCTGAGAGTAGAAGGCTTCAGACAATCAAATTACTGTGAGCGACGGGAGGACATTCAAACCAAAGGCAAAGAAGTTGAAAACTTTGAAAACAATTTAGAAGAATGTATAACTAGAATAACCAATACAGAGAAGTGCTTAAAGGAGCTGATGGAGCTGAAAACCAAGGCTTGAGAACTACGTGAAGAATGCAGAAGCCTCAGGAGCCAATGCGATCAACAGGAAGAAAGGGTATCAGCAATGGAAGATGAAATGAATGAAATGAAGCGAGAAGGGAAGTTTAGAGAAAAAAGAATAAAAAGAAATGAGAAAAGCCTCCAAGAAATATGGGACTATGTGAAAAGACCAAATCTACGTCTGATTGGTGTACCTGAAAGTGATGGGGAGAATGGAACCAAGTTGGAAAACACGCTGCAGGATATTATCCAGGAGAACTTCCCCAATCTAGCAAGGCAGGCCAACATTCAGATTCAGGAAATACAGAGAACGCCACAAAGATACTCCTTGAGAAGAGCAACTCCAAGACACATAATTGTCAGATTCACCAAAGTTGAAATGAAGGAAAAAATGTTAAGGGCAGCCAGAGAGAAAGGTCGGGTTACCCTCAAAGGGAAGCCCATCAGACTAACAGCAGATCTCTCGGCAGAGACCCTACAAGCCAGAAGAGAGTGGGGGCCAATATTCAACACTCTTAAAGAAAAGAATTTTCAACCCAGAATTTCATATCCAGCCAAACTAAGCTTCATAAGTGAAGGACAAATAAAATACTTTACAGACAAGCAATTGCTGAGAGATTTTGTCACCACCACGCCTGCCCTAAAAGAGCTCCTGAAGGAAGCGCTAAATATGGAAAGGAACAACCGGTACCAGCCGCTGCAAAATCATGCCAAAATGTAAAGACCATCGAGACTAGGAAGAAACTGCATCAACTAACGAGCAAAATCACCAGCTAACATCATAATGACAGGATCAAATTCACACATAACAATATTAACTTTAAATGTAAATGGACTAAATGCTCCAATTAAAAGACACAGACTGGCAAATTGGATTAAAAAGTCAAGACCCATCAGTGTGCTGTATTCAGGAAACCCATCTCACGTGCAGAGACACACATAGGCTCAAAATAAAAGGATGGAGAAAGATCTACCAAGCAAATGGAAAACAAAAAAAGGCAGGGGTTGCAATCCTAGTCTCTGATAAAACAGACTTTAAACCAACAAAGATCAAAAGAGACAAAGAAGGCCATTACATAATGGTAAAGGGATCAATTCAACAAGAAGAGCTAACTATCCTAAATATATATGCACCCAATACAGGGGCACCCAGATTCATAAAGCAAGTCCTGAGTGACCTACAAAGAGACTTAGACTCCCACACATTAATAATGGGAGACTTTAACACCCCACTGTCAACATTAGACAGATCAACGAGACAGAAAGTCAACAAGGATACCCAGGAATTGAACTCAGCTCTGCACCAAGCAGACCTAATAGACATCTACAGAGCTCTCCACCCCAAATCAACAGAATATACATTTTTTTCAGCACCACACCACACCTATTCCAAAATTGACCACTTACTTGGAAGTAAAGCTCTCCTCAGCAAATGTAAAAGAACAGAAATTATAACAAACTATCTCTCAGACCACAGTGCAATCAAACTAGAACTCAGGATTAAGAATCTCATTCAAAAGCGCTCAACTACATGGAAACTGAACAACCTGCTCCTGAATGACTACTGGGTACATAACGAAATAAAGGCAGAAATAAAGATATTCTTTGAAACCAATGAGAACAAAGACACAACATACCAGAATCTCTGGGACACATTCAAAGCAGTGTGTAGAGGGAAATTTATAGCACTAAATGCCCACAAGAGAAAGCAGGAAAGATCCAAAATTGACACCCTAACATCACAATTAAAAGAACTAGAAAACCAAGAGCAAACACATGCAAAAGCTAGCAGAAGGCAAGAAATAACTAAAATCAGAGCAGAACTGAAGGAAATAGAGACACAAAAAACCCTTCAAAAAATTAATGAATCCAGGAGCTGGTTTTTTGAAAGGATCAACAAAATTGATAGACCGTTAGCCAGACTAATAAAGAAAAAAAGAGAGAAGAATCAAATAGACACAATAAAAAATGATAAAGGGGATATCACCACCGATCCCACAGAAATACAAACTACCATCAGAGAATACTACAAATACCTCTACGCAAATAAACTACAAAATCTAGAAGAAATGGATAAATTCCTCGACAAATACACTCTCCCAAGACTAAACCAGGAAGAAGTTGAATCTCTGAATAGACCAATAACAGGAGCTGAAATTGTGGCAATAATCAATAGCTTACCAACCAAAAAGAGTCCAGGACCAGATGGATTCACAGCCGAATTCTACCAGAGGTACAAGGAGGAACTAGTACCATTCCTTCTGAAACTCTTCCAATCAACAGAAAAAGAGGGAATCCTCCCTAACTCATTTTATGAGGCTAGCATCATTCTGATACCAAAGCCAGGCAAAGGCACAACAAAAAAAGAGAATTTTAGACCAATATCCTTGAAGAACATCGATGCACAAATCCTCAATAAAATACTGGCAAAACGAATCCAGCAGCACATCAAAAAGCTTATCCACCATGATGAAGTGGGCTTCATCCCTGGGATGCAAGGCTGGTTCAATATACGCAAATCAATAAATGTAATCCAGCATATAAACAGAGCCAAAGACAAAAACCACATGATTATCTCAATAGATGCAGAAAAAGCCTTTGACAAAATTCAACAACCATTCATGCTAAAAACTCTCAATAAATTAGGTATTGATGGGACGTATTTCAAAATAATAAGAGCTATCTATGACAAACCCACAGCCAGTATCATACTGAATGGGCAAAAACTGGAAGCATTCCCTTTGAAAACTGGCACAAGACAGGGATGCCCTCTCTCACCACTCCTATTCAACATAGTGTTGGAAGTTCTGGCCAGGGCAATTAGGCAGCAGAAGGAAATAAAGGGTATTCAATTAGGAAAAGAGGAAGTCAAATTGTCCCTGTTTGCAGACGACATGATTGTATATCTAGAAAACCCCATTGTCTCAGCCCAAAATCTCCTTAAGCTGATAAGCAACTTCAGCAAAGTCCCAGGATACAAAATCAATGTACAAAAATCACAAGCATTCTTATACACCAACCACAGACAAACAGAGAGCCAAATCATGAGTGAACTCCCATTCACAATTGCTTCAAAGAGAATAAAATACCTAGGAATCCAACTTACAAGGGATGTGAAGGACCTCTTCAAGGAGAACTACAAACCACTGCTCAAGGAAATAAAAGAGGATACAAACAAATGGAAGAACATCCCATGCTCATGGGTAGGAAGAATCAATATTGTGAAAATGGCCATACTGCCCAAGGTAATTTACAGATTCAATGCCATCCCCATCAAGCTACCAATGCCTTTCTTCACAGAATTGGAAAAAACTACTTTAAAGTTCATATGGAACTAAAAAAGAGCCCACATCACCAAGTCAATCCTAAGCGAAAAGAACAAAGCTGGAGGTATCACACTACCTGACTTCAAACTATACTACAAGGCTACAGTAACCAAAACAGCGTGGTACTGCCACCAAAACAGAGATATAGATCAATGGAACAGAACAGAGCCCTCAGAAATAACGCCGCATATCTACAACTATCTGATCTTTGACAAACCTGAGAAAAACAAGCAATGGGGAAAGGATTCCCTATTTAATAAATGGTGCTGGGAAAACTGGCTAGCCATATGTAGAAAGCTGAAACTGGATCCCTTCCTTACACCTTATACAAAAATCAATTCAAGATGGATTAAAGACTTAAACGTTAGACCTAAAACCATAAAAACCCTAGAAGAAAACCTAGGCATTACCATTCAGGACATAGGCATGGGCAAGGACTTCATGTCCAAAACACCAAAAGCAATGGCAACAAAAGCCAAAATTGACAAATGGGATCTAATTAAACTAAAGAGCTTCTGCACAGCAAAAGAAACTACCATCAGAGTGAACAGGCAACCTACAACATGGGAGAAAATTTTCACAACCTACTCATCTGACAAAGGGCTAATATCCAGAATCTACAATGAACTCCAACAAATTTACAAGAAAAAAACAAACAACCCCATCAAAAAGTGGGCGAAGGACATGAACAGACACTTCTCAAAAGAAGACATTTATGCAGCCAAAAAACACATGAAAAAATGCTCATCATCACTGGCCTTCAGAGAAATGCAAATCAAAACTACAATGAGACACCATCTCACACCAGTTAGAATGGCAATCATTAAAAAGTCAGGAAACAACAGGTGCTGGAGAGGATGTGGAGAAATAGGAACACTTTTACACTGTTGGTGGAACTGTAAACTAGTTCAACCATTGTGGAAGTCAGTGTGGCGATTCCTCAGGGATCTAGAACAGGAAATACCATTTGACCCAGCCATCCCATTACTGGGTATGTACCCAAAGGACTATAAATCATGCTGCTATAAAGACACATGCACACGTATGTTTATTGCGGCATTATTCACCATAACAAAGACTTGGAACCAACCCAAATGTCCAACAATGATAGACTGGATTAAGAAAATGTGGCACATATACACCATGGAATACTATGCAGCCACAAAAAATGATGAGTTTATGTCCTTTGTAGGGACATGGGTGAAACTGGAAATCATCATTCTCAGTAAACTATCGCAAGAACAAAAAACCAGACACCGTATATTCTCACTCATAGGTGGGAATTGAACAATGAGATCTCATGGACACAGGAAGGGGAATATCACACTCTGGGGACTGTTGTGGGGTAGGGGGAGGGGGGAGGGATAGCATTGCGAGATATACCTAATGCTAGATGACGAATTAGTGGGTGCAGCACACCAGCATGGCACATGTATACATATGTAACTAACCTGCACAATGTGCACATGTACCCTGAAACTTAAAGTATAATAATAAAAAATAAATTAAAAAAAATCTGTTCACCTATGTATTCAGCAAGTTTTCAGGTAAGTCAGTGGAAATTTCAAAAACCTATAGATGAATCAAAATCCAAAACTGAAATTCTCTGAGTCATATAGAGAAGTGTGGAAACGTCAGTAAATTGGAGTTCTGCTAGGATGGAAGACCGAATAGACACTGGATACCAACCAGCAGTTAACAACTAGAGCAGCAGATGTTGTCTGCTTTTCTTAGTTCTCCACTTTGAACCCTCCCCCTTGGTGATACTTTTTTTTTTTTTGCCTTCATAGACATTCCTTCCCTCCCGACAACAAAGCATGAATCTCTCATACCTAATTCCAAATACGGATGCAAGACTGGTAACATCTAGTTAAAATATTGGAGCCTAAAAATCAGTGAGTGAGATAAATCTTTCTCTAGACTTTCCCCACACTCTGAAAATATCAGATCGTACGTTGTGGTCTCATTGGTTTTCATGAAAAGTCAGTGCACCAGTGAATACAATCCTGCCATGGAGGCTCTTACTGATTCATAGTGGTTCTTCCCATGGTCTGCATTAAGGCATAGAACATAGCACATTATCATCAGTAAAATAAAAATAAAATATGTGAACTCTCCTTAGGTTGAACATGTATGCTATGTAAAATGCATAGATTTGAACATACACCCTGGAGACACAGGAAGAATAAAGTTCCCACAACCAGAAATAAGAAACATCCTTTTACTTTCTGATACTAACAATTTAAAAGGCATTTGTCATTACAGCAGATGCTGGTTACAGTGCCATTGGTTAGATGTTGTAAATATAACTAACTATATACTTATAGAAGAAGCAATCATTAAGCCTGTGATTGCTTTCTAAACGTATTTTAGAGGATGAAAATGGTGGCAAAACAAACTCCCAATTCACTGTTCCATCATAGCTTGCCATCATTTCACATCATCATTTTTTGTGGTACTCAGACCCCACACATGTCCTTGTTGGAAACAAACTTTCTTTGCATCACTTGCTGGGAGAAGCCTCTCCTGGCTGCCTGAATGTGAAGCCAGACAAACACAAATGGCTGGCAAAGGTCAACAAGAAAGAGGGAATCAAATGTTCCTAATAAACTGAAATTCTCCTCACATTTTCCATAAAAGGACAAAAACATCATCCAGACTTTCTGTGAAAATTGCAACTTGACCCAGAGGAAGAGTTGCATGTTTAATATCTATGATAGGAGCATCATTTTATTATCCTTTGATATGTGACTCTTGTACAAGTCACTGTATGGTCACATTATTCATCCTGTACAAAATTATGTCTCTGGCTGGGGCTCCAGACTACTCACATAGAACTATTATGTGTGCTTATGTATGCTGATTATTTTATACACATTACATTGCGCAGAAAACACACTGTAACATATGTTTATAGACCAAAAAAAAAAGTGAGTCAATGTGTAATTGAGGAAGTGCTCTCTAATTAATCTCATGTTTTATCACAATCCTTGACCAGCACTTTCCCACAAAGAATTTTTGTGAAAATACATATTTTCTATCCCCCTTCCCATCCCAAAGTATTTGTCTCCCTTTCCCATTTAATAGGTAAACTACATGGTAGGATTTTGTATTTTAAATTTTCCTGGAATGAAAACTCCGTTTGGGCAAAAATTTTTGTCTCTTTTATTCACTACATATTCCCTGTGCCTAGCAGAGCACCTGGTACAATATAAGTCAAAACATGTGTAATTAAGCCAATCAATTTTATCTCCTGTCCAGTCCCACTGTCATTGCTTTAGTACAGTAATGGTCTATCATAGGGGTTGCCAAACTACAAACAGTGGTCCAAATTTAGCCTGCTGCCTGATTTTGTAAGCAAAGCTATATTGAAACAGAGCCACACCCATTTATTTACATACCATCTATTGCAATTTTCACAATATAACATCAGAATTGAATAGTTGTGACAAAGACCATCTGGACCACAAAGCCTAAAATATTTACCATCTATTCTTTATAGAAAATGTTTGCTGACCCCTGGTCAATTGCAATAGTTTGTGAGTAATCTCCCTTAACCCAGTAATACTATCTGCCTTCTTACACACACTCCCACCCTAGTCCATTCTTCACTAGGCCCAGAGAAATTCTCAAGGCAAATATGATCTTGTTAATCCCTTGACTTCTTCCCTGAAATATTCATCACCTGATCCTTTTCTGAAATGCGAAACAGAGGTTTCGCAAATTTTCAACTAAGACAAACATTTCCCAATGAAGATTCAAGCCTACTTGTCTCATATGCCCAGAAACATTCATCTACAACCACATCATAATTACACATTTTTTCTATATAGAAACTCTTAAACTGGTACTGCCAAGAAGAGAAAAGCATTAAAATAATAAAAAGGAAAATGCTACAAGAGTGAGTTTCTGGAAATAAGAAGCAAGAAACAGAGTGGGAAGGGTGTCCAAATGGAATACCCCTGGATATCCCTGGAGGTCCAGGTATCAAGGTCTTCAGCATTCGTTTGAAAGGATCACAACAGCTAGATTAGAAACGTCATGTGATCTGTTACCTCAACTTCCCCTATCTATTCTGTACAACCGTGACTCCATGTGGTAGCCAGAATTCTAAACTGACCCTCAAAATACTCATTCTCTGTTATCCACACCTGGTATAATTCTTTGCCTTTGATTGCCAATTTAACCTGTGGATATGATGGAATAGTTGCTCTCTTGACCAATTTATGTTGCATGGAAAATGGTGAAGGGATAATCACTTTGTGATTACCTTCAATTGTATATGATCTCTTCATAGTGGACTAGAAAGAAATGAGAAGTATGAGAGCTCCAAAGGAGGCCCCACGGCAAGGACCTGAGGGTGTCTAGGATCTAAGAGTGGTCTCTAGCTGACAGCCAGCAAACAACAGGGACCTCGGTAATGCAACTGCAAGGAAGTTAATTGTGCCAACAAAGTGAGAAAGCTTGGGATCGGATCTTTCCCTACTTCAGCCTCTGGAGGAGGACACATATGGCCAACATATTCATTTCCCAGACTTGTGAGATCCTGAGCAGACTACACAACGAAAACGTGCCAGAATCCTGACCCATGGAATGTGTGATGTAATTAATTTGTTTTCTCTAAGCTTCCAAATGTATGGTAGTATTTACACAGCAACAGAACATTAATATACACTATTATTTGGGAAAAAAAAGAATTCTTTAAACTTTTCCTTATGGTTGGAAAGACATTATGTATTTAACATGGCAGTACCTATCTTTATCACTGTGATTGGAACATCTTCTGAACAGTCCTCAGGCTGTCAAGTATCAGATCCTTTATGATGAGAATATTCCAAGAAAGGGAGTTCATGCTAAGTTTTATAACTGTAGAGCCTTCAACTGTTTTTCTGAGATTGGGAAGTGAGGATGAATTAGCATTTGTATAGCCTAGATTATTGATTCTGCCAACATTCCTTTGTTCAAGTTTTCTTCAGAGTCAACTGGACAATTAAGCAAGTGGTTTAGATGTTTGTGTGGGCCCAATTTAAATTCTTAGAATGCCAAGGTTTAAAATGGTATTAAGCACAATTGTAAAACCTAGGAGGAAAAGAATTCTGACCTTAAAAGGTAAATTTAGAAGTAGTTGTATCCAGAAAATATAGGTTATATTGTAGCAACAATCTTCACATCATAGAGGTTTACAAAAATTAAGATTTAATTCTCACCAAACTCTATGTCCATCATAGTGTTGCTGGAGTTCTGCTCTACAGGCTACATTTCTCTGCCTTTACATTTTCTGAGGCAGGAAAAGTGAATGTGGCAAGTCATACACTGGCTCTTGAAGCTTCCACTTGGAACCAACACACGTCACTTCTGTTCACGTTTCATTGGCTAACACAAGTCACGTGGCCTATATTAGTCAAGGTTCCCCAGAAGAACAAAACCAATAGGGGGTGTGTGTGTGTGTGTGTGTGTGTGTGTGTGTGTGTGTGTGTGTAGACAGAGAGACAGAGAAAGAAATTGATTATTTGAGGGAATTGGCTCATGATTATAGAGGGTGGTAAATTCAAAATCTGCAAGCTTGGCTAGCAGGATGGAGACCCAGGGAAGAGCCTATGTCGCATCTTGAGTACAAGAGCAGTCTGCTGACAAAATCCCCTCTTCCTCTGGGGAGATCAATCTTTTTCCTCCTAAGGCCATCAACTGATTAGATAAGGCCCACCCACATTATGGAGGGTTGCCTATCTTACTCAAAATCTAGTGACTTAAATGTTAATTCATCTGGAAAATACGTTCACAGAAACACCTAAAATGATGTTCCACCAACTGTCCAGGTACCACGACCTAGCCAAGCATGACATAAAATTAACCTTTGATGTAATAAATTTGTTTTGTCTAAGCTTCCAAATGTGTGGTAGTATTTATACAGCAACGGAACATTAATATACCTTATTATTTGGGAAAAAAAAGAATTCTTTAAACTTTTCCTAATGGTTGGAAATGGGTATAACCTAAGTTCTTAGGAAGCAAGTAAAATGACGTTACCATAGATTTGGTAGGCAGAGAGCCAGAAATATTTGGTGAATAGTACAAAAGCAAAATGAAACAAGACAAAGAAACTAGAGAGAGCTGTTTTGCCATGGCATCTATTTCCCTGAGCAAGACAAAAAAAAAAAATGGAGACTTCTGAGTCTGTTATTGAGACTACAAAATAAATTAAGATTAGTCGATTGGTCTAATGAGAAGCTGGGGAGGTTTTTGGCATACTATGTATATATATATCCAGCCACAAGGACAGATGCAGCTGTGAACTTTATGATTACCCAGATGTCTTTGTTCATTTGGGCAGTTATAACAATATCCCTTAGACTGGGTAGTTTATAAACAGAAATTTATTTCTTATACTTCTGGAAGTGAGGAAGTCCAAGATCAAGGTGCCAGCAGATTCAGTGTCTTCTGAGGGCTTACTCTCTTTTTTTACAGATGTTGCCTTCTTGTGTGGCAAATATGGTGGAAATGGCTAACAATCTCCCTTGGACCTCTTTTATAAGGGCACTAATCCCATTTAGGGGGGCTCTGCCTTCTTGACCTAATTACCTCCTGAAGCTCTACCTTTTAATATGATTGCATTGGAGATTAAGTTTTAACATATAAACTTTGGGGGGACATCAATACTCAGCACAAGATTTGTCTGAAGATGTCAAGCAGGTGACTGAACTGGGGAGAAAATGGGCAAACTAACTAGGATTCAGAAGAGTATGTAATTCTTTTCACTCAGAGATTTCAGGAGAAAAAAGACTGATCTCCCCAGAGGAAGAGGGAGTTTTGTCAGCAGACTGCCCTTGGACTCAAGCTGCAACAGAAACTCTTCTCTGGGTCTCCAGCCTGCTAGCTTACCTTCGTAGATCTATCCTAACTGACAAAACCCTGTCAACAAGCTCAGTAAATGCTAACATCTTTCCCTAAGAAATTATAAAGATCCTCAACTAAGGAGATTACTCTGCTTTGAGATGGAAACAAACACCTTCTTGAACTGTTGCTTTATAGAAGGAAAATAATGACCCGGGTCTTAAGGCATCTATGACTTGTTTTTTTGTGGGGTTTTTTTTTAATATTTCATTTTTTTTCTTAGTGTAATGTTTGAAGACGGTAAATTTAAGCACTTCAAAAATCTCAAGACTTTAAAAAAACTTAAGGAAGAAATGCATATAACACAAATTTAAATAGGTTATTTGTGAAATTTACAGAAAGTACTGTAATTGTGTTTGTCCATGTTATTTTATGGTAAAATATAAAATGTAGTATATATTTAATTTAATTTATATATTATAAACATACATAAGTTACATATTTAATGTGATGAATCACATTTTATATAAATATATAAATCACATATATTATATAAATCACATATATTATATAAACATATAATTAATGTGATGAATTTAATGTAATTATGTTTAATGTTTTATTAAATATATTATAAAATATAGATAGTATATTTCAAATGAGTAAAGGAAGCTTCACAATCATAGCTTTTTCCATTTAGTTGGACGGCATGTGGCTTTAAAATTATGATTTTCCTTTGCAAAGTAGTTTTAAAATAATTATATTTTATACTAAAATGAGTGCACTGAAAGCAACATAATCATTCTTCTAAACCAAATCTGTGAGTAAAAGGGCACAGAAGCAAGACTTTGCACTAAAAAAAACACCTCTCGAATTTCTTACTGGTGGGAGTCACATAGCATCAAGTTCATACTCTATCATAAATTTTGAAAATTCATTTTATTCTTAAAGGAGATCATGGGGTTTAGATAAAGGACTTGGTTTTAAAATCCCTATCACAGAGCTTTTTAATTTTCATGTTTCAAATCCAAAATGATAAATTAGAGAAACATTCTTCCATTTTTTAACAAAAGACCTATTCATAATATTGCTAGTAGAAATATCTTACAATCTCGGTACATACCTTTAAATGTCTTTACAAGTGGTTAGTCACAGCTATACTCAAGCCCTAAATAGAAGACACAATCATTACTAGCGTGTCATCTGAGTAGCCGCATAGCTCGACTGACTGTACCCCCATCTACAGTGTGGAATGAGCCACCATCCTCTTGCTCCTAGATTCCTGCAGTTGCTCCTTAACTCCTGTTTCTGCTCCCTTGTCTCCCTAAGGCCAATTCTCAAGAGAGCAGTCAGAGTGACACTATTAAACACAAGAGAGATCATGTCACTCCTGTGCTCAAAACCTTCCAACAACCTCTCATTTCCCTCAGAGTAAAAGCCCACGTTCTTAAAACCACCTACAAGTCTTTATATGACCCCACCCTCTCTAACCTCTATAGTCCTTCTGCCTGGAGTGCTTTTCCCCCAATAAAAGAATGGCAAATTCCCTCACCATCTTAAGTTGTTTGCTCACACTCTCAATTAAACCAAATCTCACCACCCTGTTTAAAATTGCCCCCAATCCTGGCCCTCCCAATTCTCCTTACCCTGTTCTACTTTTTCTTTTCTAACAGCTTTCACCATTGAATATGTTATAAAATTTTCTTATTTACTGTATTTATCATCTTCCCCCCATCTTCAACCCCTTGCTAGGATGTAGGACCAATGAGGGCAGAAATCTCTGCCTGTTCACCTTTTACGTTATCACAACTGCCGGGAATCGTAAGTGGTCCATAGCAAGCATTCAAATGTATGGATTGGATGAAAAATGACTGCAGTAACTACTGAATGGGCAAAGATTCAGGGAGTCATTGGGAGAAATAAATCTCAATAAAACCATAATAATGTAATTAATATTAGTAAATGATATGTAATACTAATATTGATTATTGCTTTCTGATTGAAACTCTAACCACTGACTAGCTATAGAATGTAAAAGGTCTTCTATAACTGTTTTTATTGTGATGTAAAGATGATATTTGGATGGATCTTTATCATTTCCAATGTGTTTTTATAAACACTATTCTTTTTTTTGTTTTTAACTTTAAGTTCTGGGTTACATGTGCAGAACATTCAGTTTTGTTACATAGGTATACACATGCCCTGGTGGTTTGCTGCACCCATCAACCCATCACCTGCATTAGGTATTTCTCCTACTGTTATCCTGCCCCTAGCCCCCCACCTCCCGACAGGCCCTGGTGTGTGATGTTCCCCTCCCTGTGTCCACGTGTTCTCATTGTTCAACTCCCACTTATGAGTGAGAACATGTGGTGTTTGGTTTTCTGATCTTGTGACAGTTTGCTGAGAATGATGGTTTCCAGCTTCATCCATGTCCCTGCAAAAGACATGAACTCATCCTATTTTATGGCTGCATAGTATTCCACGGTGTATATGTGCCACATTTTCTTAATACAGTCTATCATTGATGGATATTTGGGTTGGTTCCAAGTCTTTGCTATTGTGAATAGTGTCACAATAAACATACGTGTGCATGTGTCTTTATCGTAGAATGATTTATAATCCTTTGGGTATATACGCAGTAATGGGATTGCTGGGTCATAAACACTATTATTCTTAACTTGTGCAATAACTTTATAATGACTTGTGCAATAACCTTATAAATAAAGGAATAATGAAAATTATTATTTCATTTTGTGGAGTCAGATATTGAGTCTCAGAGAATTTAAGAAACTTGCCTAGGATCACACAAGCCCAGGTATTCGCCTCTAGCCCAGCGCTCTCTCCAATGTACCCTCCACCAGGTGCCACTGTAGAAAACATTCTGTTTATACAAGCCAGTTCATAAAACTTCTACCATCACCAAGGCAAGGTGTGTAGGACTCTTTGTTGCACATCCACGTTTCACAAACTTCAAATGGACCTCCGGGCATTCTTTCATTCTTAAAGATTTCCCAATGTTAATTTTTTTAGTTTACACTGATGGCATCTCAGTATCAGTGTGTGTAATGGGGTCCCATGTGATCAGTGTACCATGAGATTGAGTCTAGACCTTGTGCTTGTTTGAAATTAACCCCCAGTGTGGAGTCAGTGATGTGAGGCAGAGGGCCTGTCCATGAAGCCTTTACCTCTTACAAGCTTTCCGTTCCCCAGCTCCACTTCCCTGCTGGTACTCCTGCTACTTGTATGTAAATTTCCACTTGGGCAGAGCAAGAGAAACATGAACAAACCAACACTGATGAGCGTATTCAAATTCAAAACGTATACCTCCCAATATATAATTCAAATATCAGCAGGGGACTGTAGCTCTCAAATTGGCTGTGCTGAAAATAAATGCTGTACAAATTAGTAACAGGGAAGACACAGCCTCAGTCAGTTTTATGTGGAGACTCTTATGCAAGTATTAGCAAATTAACAACTCTATGCATGTAGGCGGTGATTAGAGCCAGTGTCCCTTAGAGCATATGATGAACTGTATTGACAGGAGCTGTTTCCTAGGACAGAATTCTGCGGCAGATCTAACTCATTTTCTTATAGCCAAGATTTCTCATTGTTTCCCTGAGGAAATGGCTGTTAGCCCTATCTGAGGAGCTACTTCTACTCTCTCCAAGTAGACCCCAGGCTCCATCTCAGTTTTTTTAAATCAATCAACCCCAGTGTATAACAGTGGTAGAGAAAAGTGGCAGTATGTCAAAACAGAGAAATCGACAGTCAGTCCTCCTGGGTTTCTGGGTTTTAATTGTATCATGGAAGATAGCCTGGCCCAGAAGTTAGGAGGCTGGAATTGTACTCCTGGCTTTGCAACTAACCCACCCAATGGCCTAGCAAGTCACCTAACTTGATGTTCCTCCTATTCTTTCCTTTGTACAATGAGAGGAGGGACTGAAAAATTGCAAAAGTCCCTTCAAACTCTAAAATCCAATTAATCTGTGCTCTGGCTAATGAATTCATGGTTAATCCTTTTTAGTAGGTTGCTAGAAGTTCTAATAAAAGCTTTTCCAGGCATAAGAATGTTCCATAGACCTAAAATCCTGACAATGAGCTAAATGCCTGGCACCAAACTAAATGCTTTAGCCACTCCTCATCACTAGTCATGTGAGGCCAGCATGCCTCTCTGCCTTAGAGCTGAGGGAAGTCGTCTCATGAGACACTGCCTGAGGAATGTCTAACTCTAAGGCAGGTTTACTCTCTTTATTTCTTCTACACCACATAGCCTCTCATAATTAACTGGTTTTTATAACCACTAGATCTTTGAGGAGCCAAATGTGAAAACACTGCTACCATTTGTCTGGATTAATGAGTTAATTGGAGACTGTGAAGCTAAGGTATAGTTAGAGGTCATATTTCAAGCTCCAACTTTACAGGTGTGGAAAATGACAACAGGGAAAGGTTGACTAAGAAGTGAGAAAGCAAAGACTAGGGTCTATATTTTCCCTTTCCCTTCCCCTACCTGCTTCCACCTGCTCTTCCCTCCCCTCCCCTCCCCTTCCGCTCCCCTCTCTTCCTTCTCCCCCTCCTTCCTTCCACTCATTCCACAATTCCCAAAGTTACTATATGATATGACATGCCTATTAGAAGGGATTTTTATATGCTATAAATATTCATTTCCTCCCATGGGCTACCTGATGATTCTTTTGAATACTACTGTACCATGTGTTATTTCTCTTTTCCTTAGACACTGCTATCAACACATGATATGCAAACTAAAAAAACTGAGCTTTTTATGAGGTGCTTTTAATTACACCATCTCACTTCCAAAAAATCATCTTTGGTACACATGGATAAAGGGAATAATTGAAATTTAAAGCCTTTAACACATACAAATTACAGTTTGGGCTACAGTTTAAGAGTTGTGTTGAGTGACTTTTTATTCCTATAAGTAAAAATAAACATTTGTCTGCATCTTAAACAGCTCTGAATGTCTCCAGGGCAGCAAATTCAGTGGTTGCTAATAATGTAGAAATTTAATAATAATATTTGATACCTACACTTCTAAAGAAAAGAAAAATACCTTGATGCCTTAAGCAGTGAAAATGAAACTCCTTTACGACAAAGTTAGTCAAAACAAAGCAACTAACACAAATGCAATCACTAGAAGCCCAGCTGCCAGGACCCTGAGTGGGGGAGTGGAGGAACATTCTAAATAAAAGTACCCATTGGTGGATATTTTTAGAAAACGTATAATCTAGTTCTGTGTGTTTGTATGTGGGTATTAGACCTGCTGCGAACTCCTAGTCTGTCTTATTGTTTAAGTCGATCATGATGGAACAAGCATAACATTGTATATTATTTAAATCTGCTCAGATACCAAATACTATAACTAGATCTTCATAGAGTTTCACATCACTTTGCTTTCTCATTGTCTTAGAAAAAAATATGGTTGCCTTTCAGGAATTATCTTTCATTTCTTCTCTTTCCAATATGTGTTTTTACTTTTTCGCTTCTAGAATAAAATACCAGAGCTAAATGCTATGAGGTAATGCTCCATAAAATCATTTTCCTTTTCTAAATCATAACTTCTGTGAGTAGATTGTCAACAATGAAATGTTTGGGGAGAGAAGGATGGTTTATTTTTAAAAGTTTAGTAGCACTACAAAGCTGAGCTAGTTACTTGACATTATTATTATGTTTTAACTAAAGCTTTCAAGGCTTGGGTGGAAAGGAAGGGCATCGCCTCACATATTTGTGGTTATAGGCAAAGTCAGCAGTTGTTCAGAGGACTGGATCTAAATTTATTTCTCCCAGAGGCCTGGCCAGTGATCCTTTTGGGGATAAAGTGCTGTATCCAATTATAAGTGAAATTGTACTATGTAGGCATGGAGAGGGGTGCATAACTTATTGACCTGGCCCCCATGCCTTGTCAGCAGTGATTAATTTAACAGTTTCCAAGCGGAGAGTAAAGTCTGAGCAAATGGGATAGAACATACCCCTTCTTGCTTCTCCCTGGGTGACTTTTACTACCTGGAATGTTGCTCTCTGGCCCAACTCAGATCCCTCATCCACCACAAAGCCACAATGGCCAGGTCATTTCCAAAGCTCACAAAGTCAGCAGAAGTTAGCACTTTGCCAACTTGTTTGTGTCTGTTATTTTTCTCTGTTGTGTTGTCTTTTTGTTTTTTGAAAGCTCATTTTACCCAACTGTATGTGATGACTCTCAAGATGATGCTTTTACTAGACTCTGTATAACAGTCGGTATCAATTATTTAATTCCCTCAAAATTGCTCATTCCTTTTAATGTAGTTCCCCACTTAACTGCAAAGAGAAAGCCTTAGAAATGAACCATCCAATTAAAATTGCCCTTAGTTTAAGTCAATTAGTTTAAGATTGATTTTCTTCTGCTTATTTAAGATAAAAGTTCACTGATTTCCTGTCACATCAACTCAGCAGTAGTTATTCAAATCTCCTAAAAATCTTGCATATGTGGAACATGAAATACTGAATTTAGAGCTTTCTACAAAAAACCCCCCCAAATCTCTTAAGGGAAAATAGGACAGTTATTTTGACATTGATTCTTCAGAAAATAAAATTCCCAGAAGCAAGAAATTTTATCATGGTACAGAAACTGAAAAAATCCAGAAAAGTGGATTTTCAGGACTTTATTTCCATATGACAGGATACAATTTACCTACTCTATCTTTATTTTCTCACATCAAGAGGATATTTTATTTTATCTTTAATTTTTATTTTTAGTGGTACATAGTAGTGTATATAGTTATGGGTTAAAGGAGATACTTTAATACAGGCATGCAATTTGTAATAATCGCATCATGGAGAATGGGGTGTCCATCTCCTCAAGCATTTATCCTTTGTATTACAAACAATCCAGTAATGCTCTTTTAGTTATTTTTAAATGTACAATTAAATTATTATTGATTATAATCACTCTGTTTTGACTATAATCACTCTATCAAATAGGTCTTATTAATTCTTGTTAATTATTTCTAGCTTATTTCGTACCCATTAACCATCTCCACCTCCCCACCCCACTATCGCTACCATTCCCAGCCCCTGGTAGACATCCTTCTACTCTCTATCCCCATGAGTTTAATTGTTTTGACTTTTAGATTCCACAAATAAGTGAGAACATGTGATGTTTGTCTTTCTGTGCCTGGTTTATTTCAGTTAACATAAGGATCTCCAGTTCCATCCATGTTGTTACAAATGACTGGATCTCATTCCTTTTTAGGGTTGACTAGTACTCCATTGAATATATGTACCACATTTTCTTTATCCATTCATCTGCTGATGGACACTTAGGTTGTTTCCACATTTAGTTATTGTTAACAGTGCTGCAACAAGCATGGGTGTGCAGATATCTGTTTGATATACTTATTTCCTCTCTTTTGGGTATATACCCAGCAATGGGATTGCTGGATCATATGGTAGCTCAATTTTTAACTTTTTGAGGAACCTCCAAACTATTCTCCATAGTGGTTGCACTAATTTACATTGCTACCAACAGTGTATGAGGGTTCCTTTTTCTCTACATCCTCATCAAAGAGTCAATTTTAAATAGATTATTTTTTCACTGAAGTTAAAAAAAATCTGTAGTGAAATGGGCAATATGAACAGTGGCAATCCACATGATTTTAGTTTGATATGTAGGGGCTTCTTTCTACCCTATAGTTCTTCAAACTCTGTAGTCATCCTTATTTATTTTTTTGTGTACCTCACAGTACCTAGGACATTGCTGTGCCTAAATTGTATATTTAATAACTAGCTTTTGAATTAATTTGAAAAAAAGAGATTTTTATTTCTCCTCAATATATGTAAAAATCTGAAGCAAAAATGCCATTAAAGCAGAGGCTGTAAGTTAGCAGCCTGTCACTTAACTAGACTGGATGCACATAGTTTTGAGTGGGACATTGTTTTTTAAATTTTTGAAAGACTTGCTTCTGAAAATCAAGATTTTCACATAAATTTCAGATTTCCATCTTGCCTTTAAAAATTGGAAGATCTGGCAAGACTGGACCTTAATTTCCAAATGGCAACAATCAGTTGGAATGAGTGGCAGGCATCTCCTTTGAATAGGGACAACATTTCCTACTTTATACAGTCCACAGTCTCCTGCTGTCCCATTAAAGCACCCAGCTAGCTTTACTCATTTATATGACTTAATCGAAGAGTCACTGCTTCTAAGGGTAGTCCCTTTCTTCATCACTTGAAGAACACGAAGTTTTAAAAATGGTATTTGCTTTCAATATTTGTCAGATAGAGCCTTTAAGAATGAAGATTTACAGAGAAATAGTAAGTCTTCAGATTTCATTTGCTCATGGTAACTAGGTCATGGTAATTAATCACCCACCTGTTTGGTGAAACAATCAGTTCCACAATAACCAACTAAGATCTTGTAAACAGAGAATTATTGCAAGGAAAAAATCCTATTTCACAGGGAGGAGTGGAGAGAGAAGTCATTGAATTTGACACTTTTCCCTTCTCACAAAAATGTGCTTGGTAATTTAAAAATGGAAGAATAGAAAATGGGTTTTTGCTATCTAAAGTCTTTCATAACCAACTTCTTTTCAAAGTTCTGATGTGAATTCAAAACTTCTGCCCCAAGGTCAATATCTTATCTTACTTTTCATGTTAGCTCACTTCTACTCTTTTAATCCACCATGCTTCAAATAGACCATCAAAATACATCCTGTAGCTCTTTCCCCATGAGTCTTAACATCCTTGTGTCTTATGAAGGCTTGTAGTCACAGTTTGATTTTTCTGCCACTCATCCTGGGCTCATAATAGGGTTGGACAAAGTATCTTGATAATGCCCATTTCCCACTGATACCGTGGTGCCTCTTACTTGTAAATTGGAGAATCTACTGAACAATCAATCAATGAACAAATTTATTTTTAGGGTATATGTGTTAAGACAATTTAGATGAATTAATTAAAAACAAGCTAATTAAGTACCTTTAAGAAGGCAAAGTAGAAAGCCAATGATAAGCCTGAAAATATACCCTATTTTTCTTTCTTCAACCCCAATATAAGCTGCTTCTCTACCAAGATGCTGTTTAGGTTGCTTTCAGGTACGAACTTAACTCTCATGGCATAAAACAACTTTCAGTCTGATTCATACTTATACCTTTACATAATTAACCTTGGTTAATTTTCAAAACATTCTCAAAACCAATGAAATATTATTTTTCATTTAGAGAATGAGGCTGTGTGTGATCCATTACATGTGTCTGTAAGTTCAACAGATAGGCCCTCTGAATTGTTAACTCCATGCTATGTGGATGCCGAGAAACTGGTTTCCTTAGCAATGGTTACTGGGTTACTAAGCACTTAGGAGATGTTCAAATTTTCTTCTATCTTATTGTAATATGTGCTGTATTTTTCCCCCAGAAACCTGCCTGATTATTTTTACAAGGTAAAATTATTTAATTCAAATTTGCTGTAGAGCAAGGCACAGTGTCTAGTTTGTGAATTCACTACTAAAAGAAACTGAACATTTGAACACATTCCTTAATTAAAGTATGGATGGATAAAGAAATGAATTTTTTAAAAAAGAATTATTTAAATATTCCTATAATTGCAATATTTATATAATGATATTGTTTAGAGCTTTCAAAAAGAAAATACTTTTTATAAGATTAAATAGAAAATTCAGCTAAATTCACTTGGAATTGTAACTATTCCTCTTTATTAATAATCTATTATACTTCAGATTTTTAACTGACCATTGATTGACTTTTCAATTTGTCACATAATTATGTTATGCAGGATTTTGTCATAGAGTAAGAAAAAAGTTAAATTTAGATTTATATAACAGTTTAAATACCTTTATGTCTATCATTTCAGATTTATCCCTGATTTATGTATTTCATATTCAGACCTCAATATAATACTTCAGTTACACAACCAGTAAAAAATAAAAAACTTGAAGCAAATAACAAGTAAAAATTACTCTATTGCTAAGCAAAAATGATTTGCTCCTCATGGAATCAATCTAGGTGCCCATTAATAGTAGAACTGAATAAAGAAAATGTAGTACATATACACCATGGAATACTACACAGCCATAAAAAAGAATGAAATCATGTCTTTTGCAGCAACATGGATGGAGCTGGAGGTCATAATCCTAAGCAAATTAATACAGGAACAGAAAACCCAACACCACATGTCACTTATAAGTGGGAGCCAAACATTGGGTACTCATGAACATAAAGATGGCAACAATAAATCCTGAGGACAACTAGAGGGCTGAGGGAAGGAGGGGGCCACTGGTTGAAAACCTATTGGGTGCTATGCTTACTACTTGGGTTCAATATACCCATGTAGCAAACCTGCACATGTACCCCCTGCATCTAAAATGAAAGTTAAAATTAAAAAAACAAAAAAGGTCCTGAAGCAGATAGATAACATAAAGAAGCTCTGGATTAGGGAGGAAATTGATTATCACAAGAGACCATCCTTAGCAGATCTAATTCTTCATTAATCATGCTGAGAATCACCTCAAGATGTTCAGAAGATGTTCAGTCTTGGTTATCAGCATTGCCTGTTTCTAGATTAACTGCTGTATCACATTGAGTTTTTACTTTTTTGCCATTAGCTATATGGAATTATTTTCCTGCACACTACAATCTCACTGGAATGAAATGATTCCAGTGAAAATGATTAGAAAGCCCTTTGTGTAACAGTGCTTTGTTTCTGCCAGGAAGACAGCCTCACTGATGACTATATGAATGCAGGTGATTGGCTGGTTCAATATTTAATACTGGCTTCAAGTGGGTGCCTACAAAGTTTAGATGACTCTTTAATCAAATGTCAATTTCTAAAATTCAGATATTCTTAGACATTTTTAAGGTTAACTGGGCTTTTGTGTGTCCCAGTTCATCTGTTTTTCTTTTCTGTCCAAGATTTGGACACATATTTTCTCTGCAATCTGACCTTACTGATCTCATCTTTGCCCATTGATTCAAATTCCATATGAATATAGATGAGTATCAGCCTTACCTCTAGTGTCACTCAGTTTCAGACCCTTATTTCTAGCTATATTACATATATAGGTACCTGAAATCTGCAGGCAACATATCCATTATTAAATTTACTTCTTCCTTCTTTCTTGCTCCCTCTGTCTGGTTAATGACATCGTTTAAAAGAATTCTGGGGTAAATATTCATGATGTTCGCCAATATTCCTGGTTCTCTTCTCCATTTGGGCACTCAAGAGGATGCCACTTCTACCAGCCCTTAAAATTAGGCACAGCCATGTGAAATAATGAGAAAAAAAAGGCTTTGTTCCTTTCAACTATCAAAATTTGGGTGTTGTTTCTTATTAAAACATAACCCAGGCTGGGAGTAGTGGCTAATGCCTGTAATCCCAGCACTTCGGGAGGATGAGGAGGATCGATGGCTTGAGCCCAGGAGTTTGACACCAGCCTGGGAAACATGGTGACACCCTGTCTCTACAAAAAAATACAAATATTAGCTGGGCCTGGTGGTGCACCTGAAGTCTCAGCTACTGGGGAGGTAAAATAATGATATATAATGGGAGAATAACTTGAGCCCGTGATGAGGCTGCAGTGAGCCGTGACTGCACCACTGCACTCCAGCCTGGGTGACAGAATGAGACTCTGTCTCAAAAACAAAAAAACAAAATGAAACAGGAAACACACAAAAAAACCCCAAATTGACTAAATGCTATAATTTCTCAGATATGAAACCTGATGTCACTGCATTATTCAGGATTAAGCCTGACATAAATTTTAAAACTTAAAATACAATATATAAAATAAAAATTTAAAATACAAATGACAAAAATACATTTTTATATTGCACATTCTTCAATGATTCCCCATTAACCATAAAATGGAGTTTAAATTCCTTAGCATGAGATTCAAGACCTTCAGTTGTAAATTTGGTCATAATATACTTTTACACCATTTTCCACTATACTACGTACATTCACATACAGTTGTTCCTTGCTATCCCTAGGCTATTGTTTCCAGGACCCCCCACCCCCTTACCAAAATCCACAGTATCAAGTCCCTCATATAATAAAATGCTGTAGTATTTGCATATAACCTAGCACAACCTCCCATATACTTTATTATTATTATTATTTAGAGAGAGGATCTTGCTGTGTTGCCCAGGATGGAGGGCAGTTGTGCATTCATAGCTCACTGTAGTCTCAAATTCTTGTGCTTAAGCAATCTTCTGCCTCAACCTCCTGAACAGTGGGACTACAAGCATGCATCACCATGCCCAGCCTCCTCATATATTTTAAATAATCTCTAGATTACTTATAGTACCTAACACAATGTAAATGCTATGTAAATAGTTCTTAGAGTGTACTGTTTGAAGAAACTTGACAGGAAAAATAGTCTGTACATGTTCAGTACAGGTGCAACCATCCATTTTTCTCCCCAAATATTTTCAATCAATGATTGGTTGAATCTATGTATGTGGAGGCCATGGATATGGAAGGTCAACTGTATGCTCCTTTGTGGCATCACTCTTTCTACATGGGAGAGAGAGTCCTGCTCCACCTCCACTTACCACTGTTCTCATCTCTCAAGTACCAATTGAAATATTGCTTCCTCTAGAAAGACTTTCCAATCTTCCAGGACAATTGTTCTTTTTTCCTTTTTCTACCAGAATATTATTTATATTTCCTTTTCAGTACTTAGATTTATATTCTTTATGGATATATCTATCCCATTGGATCATAAGATATTTGCATATAAAAACTGTATCTTTCTTACTTTTTTACATTTAAAAGTTTCATATGCATAATGGATATTCAGGAAATGATTACTGAATGAGTGTATGTAAAAGATTCTGTGCCCCAGAAATAATATTATATCCATGCAATAAATATTAAAGTATGACTATAAACAATATCTCATTCAGTTCTTTTGTGGTATTAAACACAGTTAAATAATACAAAGTTGGCTCTAAATCAGTCCCAACTTCTTCGTAGACCTGTCATCATTTATCTTACATATCCTTGATGTCCTAATTGAGAATCCTAATCAGAGTAAATGAAACGTTGTTGTCACATTAACTGCATTATTTTGAAGACAAAGAAGTCTGATTGCTGCCTAATCAGTTAGATCAGAACCTAATAAAATTAATTTCCCTAAAGGAGCCTTGTAAGTATTGATTTCTAATTGCCCAATCTCTACATTAAATCAACTGGCAGGTTCTTAGAAAATGTAGGGTCACTTAGATGGTCTCCAACCCTCTTTAAAATAAGCACAGTAGTACTAGGGTTAAGAATTAAAAAACCTCTGTCATAGACTTGCTTGGTTATTATGAGCCAGATGGAATATACATTGCTAGGTTTTTGTTATTTTAAAAGCAACATTATTTGGCTAATATTAGAATCAACTTCATGAACTAGCCAAGTTTTTCAAAATGAGCTTGGCTCATTTTATTTAAAATTTAAAAAGATCTTAGTGCATAATCACATCTAAAGATAGAAGAGCCTTTACAGTATCTCGTCCCCTTGGGCTACTACTAGGAACATTCCCCACTCCAGGATCTAAGGTTGGGTCCTATTTGGTCAAAATTCTCTCAGTGAGATGAGGACCTGCTGTAGCACTTTTGAGCCCTTGAGGGAATATGGTCAACAAGCTTAAGAGGAAACACCAAAAAAATCTCTGAAAGATGAAATAGAAACCCAATTAATTAGTGCCTATAGTCTGCCAACACTCTGGACATTTCAGCATGTGCACTAGCAAATTCTTTTTATTATTTAAGCGGGTACAAGTTGGCTTCCAAACTAACACATTACACAAACCAGAGGCCTGGGATGAGAAAAAAACTGTCCCATATCTGCAACTGAGCCCTTATTATATTTTTCAAGCGTTTAAAGGGGAAATCAGTTGCTACTAAAACATAATCTGATGATTCTTAAAAAGTAAATTCACCAGTAGGAAAATACATTTCTTAACTCTTGGCCTCTGGAAACACTTTAAAGTGGACACTGTTATCCAATTTGCATACACTCTAGAAGAAAGGCAGTGACTGGGAAAAAATATGTTGAATTTAAGTGACCTACGGAGGTCAGCCCCTTGACTTCTTGGCCATGATTGATCCAGTATTTTCAGCTCAAAAGATCCAATCAAATCATAGCTGCAAAAAAATTATTTTCTCTTCAGAGCTATGTTTTCATATTGATATCACAAACTGTATGTTCCAAATACATTTAAGTATGAATTTATTTCCTAGTAATAATTTGTTAAAGGCTGAAGAACTAGCATTTACTAAAAAAAAAAAAATTATCTATCTATCTATCTATCTATCTATCTATCTATCTATCTATCTATCTATCTATAATGTTCTAAACCCTTGTTATTTACCTTCTGGGAACATTGGCTCTGTATAATACATTATGAATAAAGTGGCAAAATAATGGAGTATAAATGAAAGGTCAACATGCTTAAGCATATCACTTAATTACTCCATGTCACAGAATAAGAAATATTTTATTTTCCATACTTTATCCCTGAATTTGAATTATTTTGAGACTCTAAAGAATAATACAAATTTCATTTGTCAGCAAAGAAAATGGCAAAGATAATAAAGTGATTAAAACTTGCAAAAGTTATATTAATAAATTATACCCTTTGCTGAAAGAATACAGTCCAATCTAGTATTGAACTTACATATTTAATTACTTTCTGAAAAATATTTAAGAAAAGTAATTTGCATGCATCTTTCTTGGCTGGTTCTCGAACTCTCTTTATTGTTAATCTGTTTGCTCTGTATGGATGTGAATGCACATTTTAATTATTGGGCACTGTATTCGTTTTCTAGGGCTGTGTCTTAGTCCATTTTCTGTTGCTATAAAGGAATACCTGAGGCTGAGTAATTTATAAAGAAAATAGCTTTATTTGGCTCATGGTTCTGCAAGCTGTACAAGAAGCATGATGCTGGCATCTGGTTATCTTCTGGTGAGGGTCTCAGGCTGCTTCCACTAGTGGCAGACATCAAAGGCAAGCCGAGGTGTGCAGGGATCACATGGCAAGAGAGCACAGAGGAGGGCTGCCAGGCTTTAACAACTCGCTTGTTCAGAAACTAACAGAGTGAGAAACTAACAGAGTGAGACTCAACCCCTAGCAAGGGCCTCAATCTATTCATAAGAGATCCACCCTCATGACCAAAACACCTCTTGCTAGGCCCCACCCCCTAGCACCACCACACTGGGAATTAAATTTCAAGATGAGATTTGGTGGGGACAAACAGACCATACCCAAATCACAGCAGCCTGCCATAATAAAATACCACAGACTGGCTTCAATAACAGAAGTTTATTTCTCACAGTTCTAAAGGGGAAGTCCAAGATCAAAGTGCCAGAAAGGTTGATTTCTCTAAGGCCTTTATCCTTGTCTTACAGATAACCATCCTCTTGCTGCCTCTCCCCATACTCTTTCTTCTGTGCATCCTCTGTGCATGTACATCCCCGGTATCTCTTCCTTTTCTTATAAGGACATCAGTTACATTGAATTAGGGCCCCATCCTGATGGCTTTATTTAGCTTAATCACTCTTTAAAGACTTTATCTCCAAATACACTGAGGTACTATGGACTGGAAATTTAATATATGAATTTGAAGGGAATACAATTCATCCTATAATAGTCACCTTGCTTTTTGTAGATACAAAATGTATCAAGTACTTATATACATTCACCCTCCTTTGTCAATTGCTACAGCAGGGCAGGAAGCAGATCCTAATGTATGTCCATGAAGAATGTATCTGACATGGAGAGAATATTTAATCAATATTTGTTGAATAAATAAATGAATTGCATTGACCTAATACATAGATATATTAAGTAAATTACTATGCATGTATTCCATAGGCTTCTCAAATGCAAACTCACTGTAATTGAACTCATCTCCTTCCTCTCACAAATCCCTTCCCTCACCCACTGCTCAGCAAGAATTTTTAACCTCTTGCTTTCCTTTCTTTTTTCTGGCAGTCAGTCACCAAATTTTGCAGATTTTACCCTGTTTGTATGTGTTCAACCCATGCATTCCTCTTTATTCATATAACAAAGTTCATCTCCCATATTATTACAACAATCTTATACCAGACACCTTAACCACAAGGATACATTCTCTGGGTCAGCAAGTTGCTCTTCTAATATCCTGCAGTTGCTTCCATTGTTTTTAGAATAAATCCTGATCTCTTTCTTTGAAAGGCCCTAAGTGAACTCAGCCTTTCTTATCCTTCATGTCTCACAGCTCTCCATTTCATAGCCTATTGCCATGTGATACTGAACGATGTTTAAGTTCTCAAGTCAACCACATGCTTTGTTCCTTCTAACCATTATCATATCTTCCTTCCTTAAGCTAGAACATTCTTCTCACATTCCTCTCAGTTTTACCTAAAATTATCAAGATCCAAATTTGTTATAGTTTGAATATTTGAGCTTCCAAAGCTCTTGTTGAAATTTAATCTCCAATGGTTGGAGGTGGGACCTAGTTGGGGGTGTTTGGGTCATAGGGACAGATCCTTCATGAAGAGATTAATGCTCTCCCTGTGAGTGGGCAGGGATGAGTGAATTCTGTTAGTTCCCATGACAGCTGGTTGTAAAAAGAGCCTGGAACCTCTCCCAGGCCAGCCCCAATATCAGCTCTCCTTCATCTCCTCCATGCGTGGAAGCAACCTGAAGCCCTCACCAGAAGCAGACACTGGCACCACGCTTCTTGTACAGCTTGCAGAACCATGAGTCAAATAAACCTCTTTATAAATTACTCAGCCTTAGGTATTCCTTTTAGAAATACCTATGGACAAAATGGACTAAGACAGACTTGAACCTGGGGACTCAGCTGAGGGATCAACTCCTACTTGAAGCTTTTACTGACCACATAGTCTGAATGCCTCTTCTATGTTCTGTTATCAGAGGCTAGCTAAAGGGAAAATCAGAAAATTTTAAACTGCTAGAAACAAAAAGATAATTCAGTAAAGTGGCTGGGTTCAAAATTAAAATAACAATATCAAGAATCACCAGGCTTTGTATATGCAAATAAAAACCTCTTACAAGTTATAATGAAAGAAAACAACATTTACAATAACAACTTTGATAAAATACCAGAGGTAACAGGAACTGTAAAAGATCTCTGCAAAGAAAAATCAGAAAAGCTAGTGAGAAATACAAACAAATAACTGAATGAAAAACAGTATGGCCTTCATGACCAAGTAGTCTCCTAAAGATGCCATTTATCCGTAAGTGAATTTATACATTATATATTTGTCAAAAAAAGTATTTTTTTAAATTTGATAAGCAGATTCCAAAAGTCAAACAGAACATAAATAAACAAAAATGGCCATAAAAAAGTGTAGGAAAAATATAAGTTATACTTCACTTCTAAAATCACAAGAAAATCCAGATGGATCATAGATTTAAATGTAAAGTTTGAAGCCATAAAAGTAGTAAAAGTAAACATGGGATATTTTATTTATAAAATATGTGCATCGCAATAGCCTTTTAAAGTAGGCCAAACTCCAGAAGCTAGTAAATAATGATAAACTAAAATTTTCTACATATCAAATCCACTATAGTCACTGTCCCAGGTACAAAAATATGGTATGCGTGATTTGAGGAGTGTCGAATGAAAGGATTATTTACAAAGCTAAGTGTAGTATATAAGGAAAACACTAGCATTAGTCCAATATCTGAGAATTGGTAATAGCAGCAGCACATTATCCCCATTAATGCTGAAGAGGTGAGGGAAAAAGCAATTACTGGACACAGAGAGAGAAATGTGTGCTAGAGAGTGCCTGGCAGAACCTGATCCTGCAAAAATATGAATGCTCTCCAGGGATGGAGGGAGGAGATTAGCGTAATAAATAGCCTGCCCTCAGTCTCCTTCCCTCCTTTAATCTCCTGCCAGTATTTCTGATTGGTAGAATTTACCAGTATCTATCAGTCAGTCTAGGGTTCATTCTCTTATATCATAAAAGCTGAAAAATACAGTAATCAAAATTAAATATTTAATAGATAGGTCTATTAGATTGAACACAGAAAAGAGAATTGTGAACTACAAGATAAGTCAGTGTAAAACATCAGATTGAGTATTTTCAAGGCACAAATCTGATAACAAGTTCAATATACAAAATATATAAAGAATCCCTAAAATTCAACAACAAAACTTGATTTAAAAAATAAACAAAAGACTTGAATAGGTATTTCTCCAAAGAATATATATCAATGGCTAATAAGTACATGAAAAGATGCTCAACATTACTAATCATTAGGAAAGTGAAAATTAAAACCAAACCACAATGAGATATAACTTCATACTTGTTTGGATGGCTAACAGGTAACAAGTGTTGGCAAGAATGTGAAGAAATAGGAATTCTTGTGTACTACTGGTGGCAATTTAAAATGATACAGCTGCAAGCCAAAATGGTATGGCAATTCTTCAAAAAATTAAAAATACAGATGAGTCAGGAATTCTACTTCCAAAAGAGTTGACAGCACAGTCTTGAACAAATATTTGCACACCAATGTTTTAAACAGTGTTATTCACAACTGCCAAAAGGAAGAAGCAAGCCAAGTATACATCGATGGATGTTTGAATAAACAAAATGTGGTATATACATACAATAAAATATTATTCAACCGTAAAAAAGATAGAAATTTTGGCACATGCAGCAATGTCCATGAAACTTGACATAACGTTAAGAAAAATAAGCTAATCACAGAAGGACAAATAGACAAATGCTATATGATTTCATTTATCTGAGGTACCTAGATTAATCAAATTCATAAAGACAGAAAGTAGAAAGTAGAGAAAAAGAAAGTAGAATCATGGTTGCCATCTTTAAGGGGAAAAGGGAAATGGAGAGTTATTCTTTAATGGTTATGCAGTTTCATTTTGAGAAGATGAAGAATATTCTGAAGATGAATGGTGGTTAATGATCACCCAACATTGGGAATATACTTAGTGCCACTAAACTGTACACTGAAAAGTGGGTGAAGTAGTAAATGTTTTTAGTTTGAAAAATATAGCTTTGCAAATGTATGCATTTCCTAAAAACTGGTTTATAGATTCAATACAACCTCAATCAAAATTGTATATAGGGATCCTCAGGTCAGAAGCAACACAAACAACTGAGGCCAGGTTGGGTAGATGGCGAGGCACAGGAATTATATTTGATACTGTGATAAAAAATAAAAGCTCAGCTTTCCAGTTTTCACATCTTAGCATTGTGTATAATATAAGGTGGGAAATTTATACATATTTTTTAATAATTAAAAATATTTTAGTAAATACTCTTTGTTTTTCTTAGTCAAAAGTGAAGTCATGCTTGTGTGACTTACTGGCCCAACTTTCTTTTCTGTTCCAATTACTTTTATCTCCCAGGAAGTAATGATTGCCTACAAACAGTAAAGTGTATGTGTGCATGAACACACGTGCACACACACACACACACACACACACACAAAGCAACAGAATAATGGGCAAAGGCTATAAACTGAGATTTCACAAAAGAAAAAGAGAATGACCAAGAATCATGTGAAAGTCATATCAACCTCAGACATTAAATGGCTTGAGTTAAAATAATCATTTATCTCTACTGTCTTATGCAACTCCACAAAAATGGCAGGAAATGGATGTCAATAGAAAACAAGGCAATAGTCAATGAACGATGTCCATAAATATTTTAAGATAGAAAGAGAACAAAGGCACAGTTATTGACATAAAAAAGAAAAGATAGTTCAAGCATCAATACCAGCATGATGGTGCCAATACAAGGCACACTAACTTGTTAAGCAAAACCCATATGATGCTCAGGATAGAGGCAACATTTACTTCCAAAGGAGATGAAGGATGAAATAGAAAGTGTGGTGGTCAATTTAAAGTGAGCATGAGAGAGAGTGTTAAAATCCAGGTTTCTTCTGCTTTCTTTCCTTCTTTCTTTTTTTTTTTTTGAGACAGAGTCTCGCTCTGTCACCAGGCTGGAGTGCAGTGGCACGATCTCGGCTCACTGCAACCTCTGCCCCCCTGGTTCAAGTGATTCTCCTGCCTCAGCCTTCCGAGTAGCTGGGACTACAGGTGTGTACCACCATGCCCAGCTAATTTTTGTATTTTTAGTAGAGACGGGGTTTCACCATGTTAGCCAGGATGGTCTCGATCTCTTGACATCGTGATCCACCTGCCTTGGCCTCCCAAAGTGCTGGGATTATAGGCGTGAGCCACCACACCTGGCCTCTTCTGCTTTCTTGACAGCTATATGTTTATTTCTTTCTGTGGGAAGACTAGAAGCTTTTTTCCTAGAAAAATGGAATCACAGAACTTCCAGACTCAGAGAAACCAGTCAATAGAAAGTGGGGATGATAAATTGCAATAAACATAAGAGGTTAAGTAAAATTTTACCCATTAAATACGAAACCACATGCCGCCCCCATTCCCCACTCCAATTCTATTCCCCAGCTCACCTGAATAGAATGTTGACAGCTGGACATATTTCAACACACACTAAGTCAGAAACAGAGAATATTGACAACTGGGCATGTTTCAACACTCACTAAATCAGAAACATACTGGTCCCTCACAAGAGAAAGTAAGCAGCCCCAGAGAAAAGCCCAGTAAATGCTGGTGTGTGAGCCTTCCAACAAAACGCAGAGGCACTGCTCTATCATTCCAAGTGAAGCCCACTAATGCACAAGCCTCATCAAAACACACAAAGCTTTCAGTGGGCTTTTTAGAGCCTAAGTCTTGAGTTCTAAAAAGTATCCAAAGATCACCAGGTATTTGAGGAAAGATAAATTTTAGAATCAGCTTTTTAATATCTACAAAAACCCAGCTAGAATTTTGATTGGGATTTCTTAGAATTAATTTTTTCAATCAAATTAAGGATAACTGACATTTTAACTCTATTGAGCCTTCCAATCCAGGAACATGGTGTATCTCTCAATTTAAGTTATGATTATTATTTCTCTTATCAGTCTTCTGCAGTTTTCATACAGATACAACATAGTTTTTCTTTAGATTTATGTCAACATGTTTATTATGGTATCATAAATGGCACTGTTTTTATAATTGCATATTTCAAATTTATTATATAAAGGATTTTTTAGTTTTGACATTGTACCTTACAACCTGGATAAACTCTTTTCTTAGTGCTATAAACTTTTTTGTACATTTTTTTGAGACTTTCTATGCAGACAACCATGTCATATGCAAATAGTTTGAATTTTTTTCTGATCTACATCCTTTTTATTACCTTTCCTAACTTATTATATTGGATTTATAGGACAATATTAAATATGAGTAGTGGAAAATGACACTGATGCCTTGTTCTAGAACTTAGAGGGAAAACGTTTAGTGTTTTACTACTACATATGAAGTTTTATGTAGGCTTTTGGAGATGACCCGTATTAGGATAAGTCCCTTTCCATTCCTAGTTTTCTAGAAGTTGATATCATAAATGGATGTTAAATTTTGTTAAATGCTTTTTTTGTCTTGGTGAAAACCGTATATTTAGAATCAACCAGCTGGACTCAGTTTTAATAATCCCAATTGTGTTGGCTATATCCAAAGCATCATAGTCAGGAGCCAGTCAAACAAATGTCTTCTTCTCTCCATCAGGCCTGATCAAGGTGTTGGCACTGGTCATGTCAATGTCATAGAACTTTTCCACAGCCTGTTTGGTCTGGTACTTGTTGGCCTTGACATCCACAATAAACACAAGTGTGTTGTTGTTGTCCTTCTTCTTCATGGCCAACTCTATGGTCAAGGAAAATTGATGATGGCATAGTAGTCAAGCTTCTTTCTCCTGGGGACACACTTCCAAAAATATTTGGGCTGCCTCCAAATCCAAAGTATTTTGGGTGACTGGAAGATGGGTGACATATGGATCTGTGTCTATAGACACCTTTCAGTACTGCCTTCTTGGCTCTCAAAACCTTTGGTTTGGCTTTGGCTTTGGGAAGAGCAGGGGCTTCTTTGCCTTTAGTGACATCTTTGTGACAAGGCATCGAATGCTTTTTCCTACATATATTGAACTTTTATTTTATTTTCTACTAAGTCTACTATATCATTCATGATATTGATAGATTTTGGAATAAATGAGCCTTGACTTCCAGGGACAAACTCAAATTACTCGTGATATGTTATTTTTTGTATAGATTGCTGGATTTCATTTGCTAAATTTTTTGGAAGATTTTTGTATCTGGGTTCATGAGGGACACCGGTTTGTAATTTTCTTGTAATAGCTTTTTATGGTTTTAATATTAGGACAGTGCTGGTCTCATAAGATGAGTTGGGAAATATTCTTTCCTCTTTATTTCTTAGAAGAAATATTATTTCATTGGTATTATTTAAATATTTGGTAATATTCATGAATGAAGCCATCTAAGCCTTTTTTTGAAACATTTTAAACAATTCAATTTTATAAATAGATATACAATTACTCAGGTTATCTGTTCCTTCTTGAGTGAATTTTGGTAGTGTCTTCAAAAAGTTGGTTCGCTAACATTTATGTTATCAAATTTATGGGCATAGAATTCTTTGTAGTATCTCCTTATTAACTTAGATATCTATTGCTGCATATCAAATTATACCTAAAATTAGAGACAGGGGCTTAAAACCTCAAATACTTGTTACAGTCAGGAACCCATGGGTCAAATAAGGAGGCTGGCTTACATGGACACCTCTGGTTCATAATCTCTCATGAAGCAGCCATTGAGCTGTTGGCCAGGACAGTGGCTTCACCTGTACTCAACTGAGGAAGGTGATCCACTTCCAAGCTGACTCAAGTGGTTATTGTCAGGCCTTAGTCCCTTACCATGTGGGCTTTCACAAAGCTATCTCACAATATGATATCTGAATTTCCCTAGGGCAAGCAGTCTAGGGAAAAGGAAGAAAGAATGCCCAAGGTGGAAGTCACGGTCCTTTCAGAACCTAATTTCAGAAGTGGAGTCTCATGATTTCTGGAATATTTTACTCATTAGAGGCAAGGCAAGAATTCCAGCTAACAGTCAGAGGGAGGAGATTACGTACAGGCATGGATATCACCAGGCATTTTTCCTTTGGGATCATTTTAGGGCTTGCCTTCCGTACATATGGTATTTCTAAGATTAATATGTCTGCAATGATATTTTCTCCTTTGTTTCTGATATTGGTAATTCATGTGTTCTCTCTTATTTTTTTAGACAGTCTAAGTAGAGGTTAATCAATATTAGTAATATTTTCAAAGAAACAAACTTTTGGTTTCATCGATTTTTTTCCTCTTATTTTTCTGTTTTCAGTTTCATTGACATACGATTTTATATTTATTATTTCCTCCTGTTTTGAGTTTAGTCAGCTCTTTTTATTAGTTTGTTCTGATGGAAGCTGATATATGATTTTAGAAAATTTTTCCTAAAAAAAGCTCTTAATTCCATACTTGTTTTTTCTAAGAACTGCTATTAGGTACAAACACATTTTGATAGGTTGTATTTTTACATTCATTTGTTTCAAAATACATTTTCATTTCCTAGATGCTCCTCTTAGATACATGGGTTTTTTAGAAGTATGATACTTAATTTCCAAATATTTATGGATTTTCCAGATGTCTTTCTGCTATTAATTCTACTTTAATTCTGTTATGGCCCAATAATATACTTTGTATGATTTCTATTCTTTCAAATTTATTAAAGTTTTTTTTTTTGCTTAATACATGGCTTATCTCAGTGTATATTCAATATACAATTTAAAGTAAAGTATGTGCTGCTTTTCTGGGTGGAAAGTTCTCTAAATATTCATTAGGTATATTTGGTTTATAGTGTTGTTCAGATCCTCTCATCCTCTCTATCCTTACTGACTTTCTATTTGTTCAATTACTGACAGAAGAATGGTGAAGTATCCAACTATAATTGTGGATTTGTTTATTTCACCTCTCAGCTTTTTCAATTTGTGTTCTATGTATTTAGAAGCTCTGGTGTTAGGAATATACACATTAAAACTGTTTTGTCCTCTTAGAGAATTGTATTCTTTATCGTCATGTAATGACCTTCTTTATCCCTAATAATACCCTTGTTCTGAGGTATCCTTTGTCCAATGTTAATATACCTCAGTTTTCTATTTCATAGTGTCTTAGCTTGGGTGCTCTAACAAAATATCATAGACTGAGTGGCTTAAACACAGACAGTTATTTCTCACAGTTCTGATACCTGGAAAGTCCAAATTCAGAGTGATAGCATGGTTGGGTTCTGGTGAGGGCTCTCTTCCTGACTTGCAAATGGCTACCTTCTTGCTCACATGTCAGAAACAGGAAGCTCAGGTGCCTCCTCCTCTTCTTACAAGAAGACTAATCCCATCATGAAGATTTCACTCATGACCTCATCTAAACCTAATTACCTCCCAAAGGCCCCACCTCCTAATACCACCACTTTGAGGATTCGAGTTTCAACAAATTAGTTTTACTAGGACACATTCAGTTCATAACAGATGGTGTCTGCATGGCACATAGATCTCCATTATTTTACTCTTAACCTATGTATATATCTGTTATGTCTTTATATTTATGGTGGGTCTTTTATAGACATATTATGATTTGGTCTTGCTTTTCTCTCTGACAATCTTTACGCTTTAACTGGTGTGTTTAGATCATTTTTATTTATGTTACTATTTATATGGTTGCAATAAAAATCTACCATCTTTTTGTTTTATATTTATTCCATCTGTTCTTTGTTTCTTTTTTATTCTTCTGCCTTCTTTTATATTAATTGAGAATTTTTAATGATTCCTTTTTCTCTCTTACGTTGATTTTTTATTTAGGTATTCAAAAATATTTTTACTGGTCCCTCTAAGATTTACAACATACACCCTATTATTATTGCTGCTGTAAAAAAATTACCACAAACTTAATAGCTTAGAACAATACTAATTTGTTATGTTACAGTTTTATATGTCAGACATCCAAAATCAGTTTCAGCAGGGTAAAGTCATGGTGTCGGCAAGGCTTGTCCTTCTGGAGGCTCTGAGGAGAAAATCTTTCCTGGCCTTTTTCAGCTTCTAAAGGCCACCTGCATGTTTTTATTGTAACAACTCCTTTGATTATATTGGCTTCATACAAGTATCCAGGGTAATCTCACAATTTCAAGATCCTTAATTTAATCACATCTGCAAAGTTCCCATTCTTGTATAAGGTAATACAGTCAAAAATTCCAGGGATTAGGACATGGACACCTTGACGGATCATTATGCTGCTTAAAACATTTTTAGTTGATCACAGTCTACCTTCAAATCATGTCATACTGCTTCACATCTGATGTAATGATCTCATATTGGTATATTTCTAATTCCTTCCCTCCCATCTTTGTGATACTGATATCAGACCCTTTACTTTTATATATGATATAAACATGCAATGCATCACTATTTTACTTTAGATAGTTATCCTTTGGAACAATTTAAGATAAACTAATTTTATTTTATTTTCACTTATTTCATATACTGCATTAATCATTTCTTTATGTAGATTCAGTCTCTCTGTGATACATTCCTTCTGTCTAAACATTTAATACTTCTTTTAGATTAGGTCTGATGATAATGAATTTCCTTGTTTTTTTTTTGTTTGTTTGTTTGCTTGAGAAAGTCTTTATTTTATGTTCAGTAGGTATAAAATTCTGGTTTGGTAGGGGTTTGTTTTAAAGCACTTTAATAATGGTTCCTGCTTCCTGACTTACATGATTTCTTAAGAGAAGTTTACCATAATTCTTATCTTCGTTCCTCTGTAAGCAATGCTAATTTTGTCTATGACTGCCTTCAAGATTTTCTTTCTTTCGTTTTCAGCAGTTTGGTTATATTTATAGCAGTGTGTGTGTGTGTGTGTGTGTGTGTGTGTGTGTGTGTGTGTGTGTGTGTGTGTCCCTGTGTGCTGGTATTGACCCTGTTTCATGTTCTCTGAGTTTCTGGATCTGTAGTTTGGTACTTGTCATTAATTTCGGAAATATTTTTGCCCATCACTTCTTCAAATAGTCAAATATTTCTTCCATTTTCTTTCTTGTCTCTTTCTGGGATACCCATTACAAATGTATTAGAGTATTTTATATGATCCCACAGCTTTGAAATATTCTGTTTCTTTCTTTCTCTCTCCCCACCCACCACTCCTCTTTGTGTTTCAGTTTAGATAATTTCTGTTGTCCTTCTTTCTTTTTTAAAAATGTTTTAATTTTTATTTTTATTTTACTTTAAGTTCCGGGATAGATGTGCAAAACATTCAGGTTTGTTACATGGTAAATGTGTGCCATGGTGGTTTGCTGCACCTATCAGCCCATCATCTAGGTTTTAAATCATGCATGCATTAGCTATTAGTCCTGATGCTCTCCTTCCCCTCACCCTCCATCTTACAACAGGCCTCAGTGTGTTGTTCCCCTCCCTGTGTCCATGTGTTCTCATTGTACAACTCCTACTTACAAGTGAGAACATGCAGTGTTTGGTTTTCCTGTTCCTTTGTTAGCTTGCTGAGGATGATGGCTTCCAGCTTCATCTATGTACCTGCAAAGGACATGACCTCATTCCTTTTTATGGCTGCATAGTATTCCATGGTGTACATGTATAACATTTTCTTTTTCCAGCCTATCACTGATGGACATTTGGGTTAGTTCCAAGTCATTGCTATTGTAAATAGTGCTGCAATCAACGTATGAGTGCATGTGTCTTTATAGTAGAATGATTTATAATCCTTTAGGTATATACCCAGTAGTGGGATTGCTGGGTCAAATGGTGTTTCTGGTCTAGATCCTTAAGGAATCTCCACACTGTCTTCCACAATGGTTGAACTAATTTACATTCCCACCAACAGTGTAAGTGTTCCTATTTCTCCACAGCCTTGCTAGGATCTGTTATTTCTTGACTTTTTAATAATTGCCATTCTGACTGGCATGAGATAGTATCTCATTGTGGTTTTGATTTGCATTTCTCTAATGACTAGTGATGTTGAGCTGTTTTTCATATGTGTTTTGGCCACATGAATGTCTTCTTTTGAGAAGGGTCTGTTCATATCCTTTGCCCACTTTTTGATGGGGCCATTTGTTTTTTTCTTGTAAATTTGCTTAAGTCCCTTGTAGACTCTGGATGTTAGACCTTTGTCAGATGGGTAGATTGCAAAAAAATTTTCTCCGACTCTGTAGGTTGCCTGTTCACTCTGATGATAGTTTCTATTGCTGTGCAGAAGTGCTTTAGTTTGATTAGATCCCATTTGTCAATTTTGGCTTTTGTTGCAATTGTTTTTGGTGTTTTACTCATGAAGTCTTTGCCCATGCCTATGTCCCGAGTGATATTGCCTAAGTTTTCTTCTAGGGATTTATGGTTTTGGGTTTTACATTTAAGTCTTTAATATACCTTAAGTTAATTTTTGTACAAGGTGTGAGGAAGGGGTCCAGTTTCAGTTTTCTGCATACGGCTAGCCAGTTTTCCCAGCACCATTCATTAAATAAGAAATCCTTTACCTATTGCTTGTTTTCGTCAGGTTTGTCAAAGATCAGATGGTTGTAGATGTGTGGTGTTATTTCTGAGGTTTCTGTTCTGTTCCATTGATCTATATGTCTGTTTTGGGACCAGTACCATGCTGTTTTGGTTACTGTAGGCTTCCAGTGTAGTTTGAAGTCAGATAGCATGATGCCTCCAGTTTTGTTCTTTTTCCTTAGGCTTGTCTTGGCTCCATGGGCTCTTTTTGGTTCCATAGGAAATTTAAAGTAGTTTTTTCTAATTATGTGACATTTCAAGAATGTCAATGGTAGTTTGATGGGATTAGCATTGAATCCATAAATTACTTTGGGCAGTATGGCCATTTTCAGGATATTGATTCTTCCTATCTGTGAGCATGGAATGTTTTTCCATTTGTTTGTGTCCTCTCTTATTTTCTTGAGCAGTGGTTTGTAGTTCTCTTTGAAGAGGTCCTTCATGTCTCTTTTTAGCTGTATTCCTAGATATTTCATTCTCTTTGCAACAATTGTGAATGAGAGTCCATTCATGATTTGGCTCTCTGCTTGTCTATTGTTGGCGTAGAAGAATGCCTGTGATTTTTGCACATTGATTTTGTATCCTGAGACTTTGCTGAAGTTGCTTATCAGCTTATGAAGTCTTTGGGCTGAGATGATGGAATTTTCTAAATATAGAATCATGTCATCTGCAAACAAAGACAATTTGGCTTCCTTTTTTTCTATCTGAATTCTTTTTTTTTTCTCTTGCCTGATTGCCTTGGCCAGAACTTCCAATAGTATGTTGAACAGGAGTGGTGAGAGAGGGCATTCTTGTCTTGTGCCAGTTTTCAGAGGGAATGCTTCCAGGTTTTGCCAATTCAGTATGATATTGGCTGTGGATTTGTCATAAACAGCTCCTATTATTTTGAGATATGTTCCATCAAACCTAGTTTATTGAGAGTTTTTAACATAAAGGGATGTTGAATTTTATCAAAGGCCTTTTCTGCATCTATTGAGATAATCATGTGGTTTTTGTCATTGGTTCAGTTTATGGGATGGATTACATTTATTTATTTGCATAGGTTGAACCAGCCTTGCATCCCAGGGATGAAGCCTACTTAATTATCATGAGTAAATTTTTTGATGTGCTGCTGGATTTGGATTGCTAGTATTTTATTGAGGATTTTCGTGTTGATGTTCATCAGAAATATTGGCCTGAAGTTTTCTTTTTTTGTTGTGTCTCTGCCAGGTTTTGGTATCAGAATGATGTTAGCCTCATCAAATGAGTTAGGGAGGAGTCCCTCCTTTTCAGTTGTTTGGAATAGTTTTGGAAGGAATGGTTCCAGTGCCTCTTTGTAGCTCTGGTAGAATTCAGCTATGAATCCATCTGGTCCTGGGCTTTATTTTTTGGTTGGTAGGCTATTAATTACAGCCTCAATTTCAGAACTTGTCATTGGTCTATTCAGGGATTTGGCTTCTTCCTGGTTTAGTCTTGGGATGGTGTATATGTCCAGGAATTTATCCATTTCTTCTAGATTTTCTAGTTTATTTGTGTAGAGGTGTTTATAATATTCTCTGATGGTAGTGTCTATTTCTGTTGGGTCAGTTGTGATATCCCCTTTATCATTTTTTATTATGTCTATTTGATTCTTCTCTCTTTTCTTCTTTACTAGTCAAGCTAGTGGTCTATTTATTTTGTTAATTTTTTCAAAAAACCAGCTCCTGGATTCAGTGATTCTTTGAAGGATTTTTTGTGTCTCTATCTCCTTCAGTTCTTCTCTGATCTTAGTTATTTCTTGTCTTCTGCTAGCTCTTGGATTTGTTTACTCTTGCTTTTCTAGTTCTTTTCATTGCAATGTTAGGGTGTCAATTTGCGATATTTCTAGCTTTCTGATGTGGGCATTTCAGTGGTATAAACTTCCCTGTTAACACTGCTTTAGCAGTGTCTCGGAGATTCTGGTACATTGTGCCTTTCTTCTCCTTGGTTTCAAAGAACTTCTTGATTTCCGCCTTAATTTCATTATTACCCAGGAGTCATTCAGGAGCATGTTGTTCAATTTCCATGTAGTTTTGTGGTTTTAAGTGAGTTTCTGAATCCTGAGTTCTAATTTGATTGCACTATGTTCTGAGAGAATGTTTGTTATGATTTCAGTTCTTTTGCATTTGCTGAGGAGTGTTTTACTTCCAATTATGTGGTCTATTTTAAAATAAGTGCCATGTGGCACTGAAAAGAATGTATATTCTGTTGATTTAGGGTGGAGAGTTCTGTAGATGTCTCTTAGGTTGACTTGATCCAGAGCTGATTTCAAGTCCTGAATATCCTTGTTAATTTTGTCTAATTGATCCGTCTAATATTGACAGTGGGATGTTAAAGTCTCCCACTATTATTGTGTGGGAGTCTAAGTATAGGTCTCTAAGAACTTGTTTTATGAACGAACCTGGGTGCTCCTGTACTGGGTGCATATATATTTAGTATAGTTAGCTCTTCCTGTTGAATTGATTCCTTTACCATTATATAATATCCTTCGTCTTTTTTGATCTTTGTTGGTTTAAAGTCTGTTTAGTCAGAGACTAGGATTGCAACCCCTGCCTTTTTTTTTTTTTTTTTTTTTGCTCTCCATTTGCTTGGTAAATATTCCTCCATCCGTATAATTTTCAGCCTATGTGTCCTTGCACATGAGATGTGTCTCCCGAAAATAGTACACGGATGGGTCTTGACTCTTTATTCAATTTTCCCATCTGTGTCTTTAATAGGGGCATTTAGACAATTTACATTTAAGGTTAATATTGATAGGTGTGAATTTGATCCTGTCATCATGATGCTAGCTGGTTATTTTGTCCACTAGTTGATGCAGTTTCTTCGTAGTGTCATAGTGTCATTGGTCTTTTTATTTTGGTGTGTTTTTGCAGTGGGTGGTACTGGTTTTTCCTTTCCATATTTAGTGCTTCCTTCAGGAGCTCTTGCAAGGCAGGCCTGGTGGTGACAAAATCCCCTATATTTGCTTGTCTGAAAAGGATTTTATTTCTCCTTTGCTTACAAAGCTTAGTTTGACGGGATATAAAATTCTGAGTTGAAAATTCTTTTCTTTAAGATTGTTGAATATTGGCCCCCACTCTCTTCTGGCTTGTACGGTTTCTACTGAGAGATCTGCTGTTAGTCTGATGGGCTTCCCTTTCTAGGTTACCTGGCCTTTCTCTCTGGCTGCCCTTAGTACTTTCTCCTTCATTCCAACCTTGGACAATCTGACGATTATGTGTCTTGGGGTTGATCTTGTGGAGTATCCTAGTGGTGTTCTCTGTATTTCCTGAACTTGAATATTGGCCTGCCTTGCTAGGCTGGGGAAGTTTTCCTGGATAGTATCCTGAAGTATGTTTTCCAACTTGGTTCCTTTCTCTCCTTCTCTTTCAGGTACTCCAATCAATCATAGGTTTGGTCTTTTTACATAGTCCCATATTTCTCAGAGGTTTTGTTTGTTCCTTTTCATTCTTTTTTTCTAAAATCTTGTCTGCCTGTATTATTTTAGTAAGATGGTATTCAAACTCTGATATTTTTTCTTCTGCTTGATTGATTTGGCTATTGGTAATTGTGTATGCTTTATGAGGTTCTCATGCTGTGTTTTTCAGCTCCATTAGGTCATTTTTGTTCCCCTCTAAGCTGGTTATTCTAGTTAGCAGCTCCTGTAACCTTTTATCAAGGTTCTTACCTTCTTTGCATTGGGTTAGACCATGCTCCTTTAGCTCAACAGAATTTGTTATTTATTACCCACCTTCTGAAGCGTACTTCTGTCAATTCATTTATCTCATCCTCTGTATAGTTCTGTGCCCTCGCTGGAGAGGTGTTGTGATCATTTGGAGGAGAAGAGGCACTCTGGCCTTTTAGGTTTCAGCGTTTTTTCATTGATTCTTTCTTATCTTCATGAGTTTGCCTAGTTTCAATCTCTGAGGCTGCTGACCCTCGGATGTGGTTTTTGTGGGGACATTTTTTGTTGATTCCTGTTTGTTTGTTTTTCTTTCAATGGTCAGGTCCCTCTTTTGCAGGGCTGCTGTGGTTTGCTGGGGGTTCACTTCAGGCCCTATTCATCTGCTTCAATCCTGTGCCTGGATATGTCACTCGAAGAGGCTGGAGAACATCAAAAATGGGTGCCTGCTCCATCCACTGGGATCTCTGACCTTGAGGGGCACCAATCTGATGCCAGTAGGAGTGCTCCTGTATAGGGTGTCTGACAATCCCTGTTGGACGGTCTTACCCAGTTGGGTGGCAAAGGGAGCAAAAGCCATTTAACAGTACATTTTGGCTGTCCCTTGGTGGAGGAGGTGTGCCATGCTGGGGGGAATCCCACTCATCTGGGCTGCCCAGATTCCTCAGAACTAGACTCCTTAGAAAGACTAAGTCTGCTGGTCCACGGAGCTTATGGCCACCCCTCCCCCTAGGGGCTCAGGTTCAGGGAGATCAAAATTCTGTCCCTGAGCCCCTGGCTGGAGTTGTTGGAGTTACTACAGGGAGGCCCCACCTGGTGAGGAGGGATGGGTAAGGGTCAGGCCTGAAGAGGCACTCTGGCTGCAGTCTGCCACAGCTGGTGTGTTGGGCTGTGGGGAATACCACTTGGGATCAAGCTGTCCAGCCTCCCTGGCTCCAGCAGGGGAAAAGTGCAGCCCAGAGCTATAGAGATGGCTGCTGCCCTTCCCCTGCTCTGGGATCTTAGTGTGTTAGGAAGCTAACAGTCCCAGTGTTGGCTGCCGCCCCTCCCCCAAGGAGTTCAGATGGCTTAGACATCAGCTTAAGCAGATTCCAGCTGAGTGGCTGTTGAGAATCTGCGTGGCTCTGTGGTTTGGACCCCAGGCCCCAGTAGTATGGGCTCACTAGTGGGATCTTCCAGTCTGTCGGTTGCACAGTTCCATGGACAAAGCAGGGCTTCCCAGGCTGGGTAGCACGCTCACTCACCACCTCCCTTGGCTGGGGGTTGGGGGCTCCCCTGCCCCATGTGGCTCTCAGGTGGGCTGTCATACCCCACTGCTCTTCCTTCTCTGTGGGTCATGCCAGCTGCCTAGTCAGTCCTGATAACAGAAACTTGGATACCTCAGTTGCCAGTGCAGGATTCGCCCACTGTTTTGGTTCTTTTGGATGGGAGCCTCCTATCACTGCTGCTTCTAGCTGATCATCTTGGCCCCACCGCTATTGTCCTTGCTGCAAATTCACTGATGCTTCTTTCCTCCAGGGTGAACCTATAACGAGGCTTTTGAAGGAATTCTTCATTTCTGTCTCATATTTTTCATTTCTCGTATTTCAATTGGACTCATTTTTATAGTTTCTACCTTTTTGCTGAGATTACCCATATGATCTTGCATGTTGTCCACATTTTTCCATTAGCATCTTTAATATATGAATTGTAATTATTTTAAATTCCCTGTCAAATACTTTCAACATCTGTGTCATATCTGAGTTTTATTCTAATTAATCCTTGCTCATCTTATTGTGTTACTTCCTGCCTTCTCATATGTCACTTTTTTTTTTTTTTTTTTTTTTTTTTTTTTTTTGCTGAAAGCTGGATTTTGGTGTCCCATTGTGTCCAGCTCAGGTGAGTGCTCACATCTTCACTCTCTCTGTAGGCACCGTCTCTCTTTATATTTTCAGCCAATTGTTTGTGCTGCATCCAATGGATTTTAAAAGAAAGTTGCAAACTTGAAGTCTGACTGTTTTTCCTGTTTTACTCAATTTTGTGTTGATATTTCACTTTAATAAAAATTTAAATAAAAAGATTCTTATTATTACTAGTTTCCATGAAATATAAATCACTTTGACAAAAATTAAAAGGTGTTGCTTAGTATATGAATTAACAAGAGTTCTTATCCACTGTAAATGGGAGTATGATTTGGTAAAATAAAATAACGCTGGAGAGCAATTGGCTATATTCATTAAAGTTGCAAAAGCATATACCCTTTGATCTGGCAATTCCAGTTCGATATAAACTTCAGTATTTCTTACATGTACAAAAGAATGCATTTATCATTTTGTAAAAATCATTGATAATTACCATCAATAAAGAAATCAAGTGTTTTTTCATATAATGGAATACTATACATAAATTAAAATGAATGAACTAATTTACATGCATTAAAATAGATAAATCATAAAAACAATCTTCAGTGAAATTAGCAGGTTGTGAAAGGATTTGTATAATATACCATTTGTATAAAATAGGAAAGCATCCAAAATATTTTTTTGTATTATTTATGATCTCATGCCTATGTTTTAAAAAGTATAGAGACATGCCTGATGATGTGTCCTACCAGCTACAAGATAGTGATAACCTCTGGTGAGAAACAAAGGGAGGGAGGGGAAAATCGGGAGGAGTGATTTATTTATATCTGAATGTTTCAGTTTTTAAAAATTAGATATAAAGAAACATCAGGTAAATATGGATTACTGGCACATGGATATGTCCTATATAGTTTTATATATATTTATAATACTTCATAATTAAACATTTTAAAGGAATTCATTTTATATTATTTCTACATGAATTGCTCTGGCCTAATTAGAGATAGTTTCTTTCAAACCACTAGGACCTACCTCAGGAAAAAAATATCCATATCAGCTATTTTTCAAACAGGTTAGTAAGAATAAAAGGGGAAAATATAAAAGTCTCACTAGCATACAAAATTCTTCATTGGTGCAGGTGCCTCCCATCAGGTACCAATTATCTGGGAGGTAACCTTAGTCCTTAGCTTTTGTGAAGTTCACTATCAGGTTTCTTCCCTGTGGATGTCTGCAATTGTTACTCTAAGTGGTGGAGTGATAATTTTGGTTCTACATTACCTTCTGCTAGTGACGTCCTTAGGCATCTAAAACTTTTATGTTGCTATTACATCCAGGTAAATTTGGAGATATTTAAAGTTGATAAAGACATACATACTGGATTTATATTTTAATTATGTTATTTTTCAAACATCTCATCATAGTGCATGTTCCTAACACTAGACTTTAGGTAGCAGTATATTTTGGGATATGATGAAATGCAAAGATGCAATGGGAATCAAGAGTTATATTTAAAAGGCTTTTGCACAGCACTTTTAAGTAGCCTGCAGAACTGCAAGCACATGGGTAAATTTGCTTTCATATGTGAAAACCTCATTTCTCGGTTCATATGAATCCTTAACATCTCTGTTTGATCATATGAGTATGTAGTTCCATCATGAACTAGCTATATGTCCCTAAATGCCTCTTGGGAGGATATACAGTGACATTACATTATAGGGATTTAACATGAGAGTATAAAATGATGTAAATTAGTGCTGTGGCTAAGATGTATTCCCATTAAAATTACTACAAAAAACAGATATTTAGAATTAAAATTTGTTCCTTTCAAATGCATCAATTTAATGAATACGCTTACAAATATACAATGTCTTTTTTGATAACTGTTAGCACAAATAAGGGTCAGGGTAATAAACCTGAGTGAGGATGGAGAATTAGGCTTGGAGTGACTATGTACAGCTGAAGACTCCACTTCCATACCCTTATTTCAATATTTATATAGAGGTATCTTAAAAGTTTCTAGGCAAGCTTTACAATTGTCTCAAGAAAAACAAACACCAGAACAGTTTATGGCCCCAAATTGCTTTTGGTCATCTTAATTTTGAAATCTTATATTCCATTACTTAGTACACAGGCAAGTAGAACTTCTTGTAAATATTTCCATCTTGCCAATTTTGGAAAATCAAAAAATTTAATATAATCTTTTATTAACATAGAAAGTCAGCATTTTAATCAGTATAAAACAGTAATGCAATGTAATAAAGAATAATCAAGTTGAAATAAACACCTTCAGTATTCAGTTTTTACTCAAATTACTTGCTGAGGTATAGTGCTGAAGTCTGAATGATTTTTTTCATTAAATGTGTTCCCAATTCTGAGTCAAGATAAAACAGAAAGTATACAATTAAACTTTTATCTATTGTTGCATGCATCAAATTCTAACACAGCAGAGATATACCTATACAGAAAAAGAAGTATTTACTATCTACAATAATCAAATTAATTGAAAATTTCCAGATCTCTGTCGGGCACGGTGGCTCACGCCTGTAATCCCAGCACTTTGGGAGGCCAAGGCAGGTGGATTGAGAGATCAGGAGATCGAGACCATCCTGGCTAACACGGTGAAACCCCATTTCTACTAAAAATACAAAAAACAAAACAAAAGTTAGCTGGGCGTGGTGGCAGGTGCCTGTAGTCCCAGCTACTCGGGAGGCTGAGGCAGGAGAATGGGGTGAACCTGGCAGGCAGAGCGTGCAGTGAGCCGAGATCACACCACTGCACTCCAGCCTGGGCGACAGAGCAAGACTCCGTCTCAAAAAAAAAAAAAAAAAAAAAAAAAAGAGGAAGAAGAAAATTTCCAGATCTCTATTTCTTTGTCTCTCTGTCCTCTATGTATACAATTCGAGGAATGATAGCGCACCCCATACACAGGCTCTCAACAAGTCTATTTTTATCTAGGGAATTGATTCATACATTAATTTTAAATGTATTTTACAGGAAGAAAGCTAGACTGAGCTATAACACTATAAACTTTTACCTGCTTTTAGAATGTTAGTACATTTGGCACGTTGTGCACTCTCTCATTTCTGCAGCACTAGGAGATAGAACAAAAATTGGCCAGTCATTGATGAACAATTTTGTATGAATTTTCTTCTAGTGTATCCCTCACTAAGAGAGGCACTTTGAAAGATAGTTACCAGACACAGTCCTGATGCCCCAAGGCTTACTACATTGACATAAAACTGACCTTTCTATCCCATTCAAAGACTTTTCCAGAAAGATCAAACCACCTGAACAAGTAGGGAGAAGAGTTCTGACCTTTAACAATGTCAAGTTTTAATCATTACTCTCAGCGTTACTACATATCAATGGAAATTTTTTATTATCCATGGTCATCAAATCTACTTTTTCTGAATTTCTTTGGGGTGACTGATATATAATTTCTGCATTGCAAAGCTAACTTTATCTACTTATTGAGTCTACTAAATGGAAAGTGAATCATATATTGTGTTACTACACTTCTTTAGGTACTTTGCAAGTATTATTCCATTTAATTCTCACAACAAACATGAATTAATTTGAATATCCTTATTCTGTGAAATACTTAGAGACGCCTAAGACCCCTTCCGGCTGCTAAAAAGTGGAATTCAAAGCCAGGTATCTTAACTCCAAAGCTCATTCATATTCTAATTCTTTTACATTCTCATATAAGGGCCAAGCCATGATTTCTAAGAAGTGTGATAATTGACTTTTAATTTTGAAAAAAATATGCGTTTTATAACATTTACTGAGCACTTATTATGAGTCACACAGTCTTTTGAAAACTCTGGATGAGTCCCCTCATTTGATCCTCATGAAAACCTTGTAGGCATTATAATTGCTCTCACACTGCATATCAAGAAACTAACACTTAAAGAGGACCAGTAAATCACCCAGGGCCGAGAGTTAAGGAATGTTTCAGGTTTACATGCTGTTTGATTAAGAAGGCCAAATTCTTAGTAACTGGATGAAACTGAAATCAGGAATGATATTACAAAACCATCACACTTTTGATCCATTGTTTTCATATTCATATATTTATCTATTTTATAATTATCACTTTATATAAGACACTATGCCATGGGCTGGGTTCACAAACAGAAACAACTGAAATATCTATGTTCTAAGCATTTGTGTTCTACCAAAAGAAATAGTAAATACTGATTACAATGTTCTTTGACAGACATATACAGAGATTAATTATGGGAGGGCATCTAATACAGAATGAGGGAATACAGAAATATGATCGGAGTCAGAAATATAGCATACATTTATTCATAACATCTCTTTGTAAAAATGTAATATATATTACATGCTTATAATATTCATATTCTTTCTTCTAGACTTTTGATTTAATGTTAAGAAAGAAAACATTTGCAATATAAGCTTTGTCCAGATTTACTGACAAATTTAGCTAAATTATTAGCCTGTTCTCACACTCCTCACGAAAAAATCATTAAAGTTTTCTTTTACTCTATTGAATAACGTGATATTTTGTTCTGAGCTGGATGAGAGGGAGCTGTCAGTTTATTCTTCTCTAGAGAATGCACTTGATTTGATGCCCTAGATTGGGAATTGAGAAATCCAATATATTTGAACATTTCAGTTCAGAAAATAACTGGCTAAACAGTTCTCTTTACTCCTGTTGCAATGATTGAAACATTGGCCTTTATTATGAGCATTAACCCAGGCAACTTGGCAAAAGGATGCATCAATGCGTTAGGATAACAACCTTTTGGCATCTTGAAATGTCAGGTTTAATCCTTAAGGAGAATGATATAGGGAAGAAAAATAGGCCTTTTATTAAAAAATACAAACTGAAGTGGTTGACCTCTTAGTGATTAACTGGGTTTACACACAGGAGTAGAATGGGACTGGACCAAAAAATGCTGGGTTGGTCTGATTTTCCTGGGGCAGGGAGATGGTAAACAAGCTCTGTGTCTGCCAACCTTACCCAGAGTGACTCATAACTACTGACTCTTATTTTCTTCCTTATCAGTTATGGTCATGTAGCATCCCTTATAAAGTTTCCCACATACTTGGCATATTTGTGTACTACTACGTTTTAGAGCCTTGTTGTTATCTTAGTGTGTGCATATTTTCTTCCCTTCATTCACTGAATCCCTCCCTTCAGTCAGTTATTAGGACACAGAAAAATGTTTTACTATGAATTAAAAGGGCAGTTTTCTGCTGGCATAACAATAAATCAGTTTAACATTTTTCCACCCTAGTAAGACGGTCCAGCATTAAAGACAGGTCATTATAGTGAGTATAAAGGGAAAAAGATCTCCACTTCTTTGAGAACTTACCACTTATGTGATGTTTGCTCAAACTCTGGCACTTCAGGAATGATAGTCAAACTGTTTCTGAAACCATAAGATACAGAAATGTCTAGGGCTTATTTTTTTATCTGTTGCATTAAAAAATTGATTAAATGGAATCAATTTCTTGACAGACACAATCTGCCAAAACTCACACAAAAAGCAATAGACACTCTGAATAGGCCTATATTTGTTAAATAAATTGAATCAATCACTAATAGCCTTCCAAAACAGAAAGTACCAGGCCCAGATGAGTTTGCTGATAATTCTAACAAAATGTAAGAAATAAATGACACCAATTTTCTACTACATTTTCCAGAAATTATAAGCTGAAGGAATACTCTATAACCCATTCTGTCAGGCAGGCATTACCCTACTATCAAAGCTTGGCAAAGACATTACAAGAAAATAAAATGACTAACAAATCAAATCCAAAGATATATCAAAAGAATTACATACCACAACTAAGTAGCAATTATTCCAGGTATGTAAGACTTGTTCAACATTTGAAAATCAATTAGTGTAATTCTTTACATCAAAGGGTACAGAAAAAATATCACATGATCCTATCAATGGATGCAGAAAAACATTTGATGAAAACGAACACCCATTCATGACAAAAACTCCCAGTAAATTAGGAGTAGAGGAGAAATTCTTCAACTTGTTAAAGGAATATCTACAAAAAACCTACAGCTAACACCATGCTTAAGAGTGAAAAACTCAAAGCTTTACCACTAAGATTAGGAATAAGGCAAACATGTGTCATCTCACCACTCCTTTTCAGCATTGTATTGGAAGTCCAGCTAATACAATAAGACAAAAAAGAAAACAAAAGGGAAATAGATTATAAAGGAGGAAATTAAATTGTGTTTGTTCACAAATGACATGACTGTCTATGTAGGAAATATGAAAGAGTTGACAAAAAATACTTTGAAACTAATAAGAGATTATAGCAAGGTTGCAGAATGCAAGACTAGTGTGTAAAACCCAATCACTTTCCTATATGCCAGTAATGAACAAGTGAAATTTGAAATAAAAAAACATTTACATTAGCATCCCCAAAACATGAAAACTTAAGTAGAAATCTAATGAAATATGAATATGATCTATATGAGAAAAACCACAAAACATTGATGAAAGAACCCAAAGAACTACTAAATAAATGGAGAGATATTCCATTTATGGATCATGTATAGAAAGACTCAATAATGTCAAGATGTCAGTTCTTCCTAAGTTGATCTATAGAATCAATACATCCCAATCAAAATCCCAGCAAGTTATTTTGTGGATATCAACAAACTGATTCTATAGTTTATAGACAGAGGCAAAAGATTCAGGATAGCCAACACAATATTGAAAGAGAAGAACAAAGTTGGCAGATTGACATTCTCCAACTTCAAGACGTACTACAAAGCTATAGCCATTAAAACAGTGTAGTACTGATGAAAGAGCCGACAAAAAGATCAATGGAACAGAATAAAGAGCTCAGAAATAGACTGTTGTAAATATAGTCAACAGGTCTTTGACAGAGTAAAGGCAATACAATGAAGAGAATATAGCATTTTCAACAAATGGTGCTGGAACAACGGAACATTTACATGCAAATATATGATTCTAGATGCAGACCTTATAACCTTTACAAAAATTAACTCAAAAGGATCACAGAACTAAATGTAAAATGAAAAACTATCAAACTCCTAGAAGATAACACACAAGAAAACCTAAACGACTTTGGGATTGGTGATGACAATTATTCTTAGAATAACACTGAAGACATAATCCATGAGAGAAAGGATTAAGAGACTGAGCTTTATTAAATTTAAGATTTTCTGCTGTGTAAAAGACATGGTCAAAAGAATAAAAAGAGGCAAACTGGAAGAAAATATTTGGAAAAGACATAACTGATAAAGAAGTGTTATCCAAAATATACAAAGAACTTTTAAAACTCAACAATAAGAAAACAAACAACTCAATTTAAAAATAAGCTAAAGACCTTAACAGGCACCTCACTTAAGAAGATATACAGATGGCAAATAAGCATATCAAGAGATGCCTTACATTATATGTCACCAGGGAAATGCAAATAAAAACAGTAATGAGATATTATATACCTATTAGAATAGCCATAATGCAGAACGCTAATACAAACAAATATTGCTGAGGATGTGGAACAACAGGAACTCTCATTCTTTGCTGGTAGGAATGCAAAGTGTTACAGCTGCCTTAAAAGACAGTTTGGCAGCTTCTTACAAAACTAAACATACTCTTATCATATGATGCAGTAATCACACTCCTTAGTATTTACTGAAAGAAGTTGAAAACTGATGTCCACACAAAAACTTGCACATGATATTTATGACAGCTTTATTTATAATTGCCCAAACTTAAGAGACAACCAAGATATCCTTCAGTAGGTGAATGGATAAACTGTGGTACATCCAGATAATGGAATATTATTCAGCACTAAAAAGGAATGACCTATCAAGCCATGAAAAGACAGGGAGGAAACTTAAATGTATATTACTAAGTGAACAAGGCCAATGTGAAAAACGCTACATACTGTGTGATCCAACTATCTGATATTCTTGAAAGGTAATGCTTTGGAGACAATGAAAAGATAGTAGTTGTCAAGGGTTGGGGAGAGAAAGATAAATAGGCAGAACACAGAGGACTTTTAGGGCAGTAAAACAACTCTCTATGATTCTAAAAGAATGGATTTGTGTCATTAGACATTTGTCCAAATCCATAGGCTGTACAACACCAAGAGTGAACTAACGTAAACTATGGATTCTGGTTGGTGATGATGTGTCAACGTAGGTTCCTCAGTTATAACAAATATATTACTCTGCTTGGGAACGTTTATCTGGGAGAGGCTATGCATGTTCTAGGGCAGGGGGTATAATGGAAATCTCTATGCATTCTGCCCAATTTTGCTGAGGACATAAAGCTGCTCTAGAAAATAGCCTAATAGAAAATTCAGATGCAACTTTAGCCTCGTTATTGTATAGTTCATAATCACTTGTTTCCTAGACAAATTAACTAAAAAATGAGAGTAAAAAACATACATGCTACTTAGTTCAAGTAGCTCTAGTAAGTAAAGTTGCACACACCAACTAACCATTTTAAATTTATTCAGAATGTTTTCTATTTCCTCATTCTAAGATTATAGATACACTACCATTAGATAGAGCTTACTTAGTTTTTCTGGGAAATTTTTCTTAAGAGAATAAAGTCTATCCTCCTTAAAACCTACAAATCATCAGAAATATTTATTTTTCTGTTAATTTTTAACAGAAGATTACAAAATTGGAGCAGTACTTTTTGCCATAGGACTATCTTTTTCCTTGATATTAGGAAAATTAAATCAGAGTTTTTTCTCGTTCTGCTTCAGAATGTAAATAGGAACTTAAAAAGTGAGCTATATGAATAGGTCATTTGTTCTTAACTTGGGTGGCATCGTCATCATTAACATCAACCCTATTGTTCATGTACATTGAGGCTTGCACCATTTTTGTTGGATATACTTCCTCACGCCAACCAGCTCCACCATGGTTGAGGTAATATTAATTAGAAACTTGACAATGCATAACCAGGTGTGGTGGCTCACATCTGTAATCCCAGCACTTTGGGAAGCTGAGGCGGGTGGATCACCTGAAGTCAGGAGTTCGAGACCAGCCTGGCCAACATGGTAAAACCCTGTCTCTACTAGAAATACAAAAACCAGCCAGATATGGTGGCGGATGCCTGTAGTCCCAGCTACTAGGGAGGTTGAGGTAGGAGAATCGCTTGAACCCGGGAGACAGAGGTTGCAATGAGCCAAGATCATACCACTGCACTCCAGCCTCGGCAACAGAACGCAACTCCGTCTCAAAAAAAAAAAAAAAAGAAAGAAAGAAACAGACCATGCATAAATAAAATCGAATGATACTATGATGCATGCAGCTATAAAAAGTACTTACTAACACGTTTCTGAAAAGATGAATTGTGAGGTATGCAATTCTGGTACAAGAAAGAAAGCTTCCAACACTGATTTTACGTATCTTCTAATTTTGATCATCCTTTCCATTTATTTTTAAAATAAACTTTTTTGATTCTCAAAGAAATGCGTGGTAATAATGGAAAAGTTGGACAACAATTAGAATAAAATAAGTATGATACAGCCACTCCTAGATTACATGAGCTAATCACCAAAGAAGCGAGAGGAAGGACTATACCTCGGTAAGAGTGAGGCAGGGAAGAGAAGGTCAGTTCAACAGTACAGAAAGGAGGTTCGGCCCAGTGCTAGAGTGCTCATGAAGCAACTAGGATTTAAATTTTTTGAGATAATTGTTTTTCAGTTAAATGTTTTGTCCAAATCTCTTATCATTCAAAAGAAGAATTAGGGATTTTTAGTTCTTTTTTTTAATTGGATTCTATGGTTAATCACCTCCCTCTAGTGCTGAAGGGAGATGGTTTGCATGGGATTTGAGCCAAGGAAGCTGGCAAAAAGAGAAACGCCCTGCATCCACCGAGTACTTCTTTGACAAGACTTACTCGGTTTTCTTTGTGTGGAGCATTGTGGCAGGTAAAACTTCCTTTTCCTAGGAGTTGGATTAAGGCAAATTTAGAAGTGATTCCACATTGGCAGTATACAAGAGCAAAGAGCTCTGAGTGCTTTCTCAGAAATGCAGCCTGATTCTCAACATCATTCCTGGGACTCCGCCACCATCTTTAAGAGCTGTCATTTAAAACTTGTCTTCCTCTTCCTGTAGGCAGGATAAATGAAAGCTACTAATTCCAAGCACTGTCTTGAATACTTTGTCTATTGAAGCCATAGTGATGCAAATTTTTCTAGTCAATGGATTATTTTGAAATCTGTAGACATATTGTCTTAATAACACCAGGCACTGTAGGATAGAAAAAAATGATAAAGTTGAGTGATTGCATCAACAAAGCTTGCATGCCCATCATGTAATCAAATGCATCCTTTATCCTCCCTGACTAATTGGAGGCATCTTTATTCAGAGTTTTCAAAAGAAAATGCACGGTTCACAGAGCTTAGGGTTTTTTTTGTTTTTTGTTTTTTTTCACACTTGCTCTGAAGTAATATTCTTAAGAAGGGATGAGCTACTGTTAGGAAGTCAACAACTGATAAATGCTTGACCCATGAAGCTCCATCTTTTTCCTGACAGTCCATTAGGTGGAATCTAAGACATAGGAGCTTGAAATGTACTTATCATAGTTAAGCCACTGTCTGTAATGGTGGCCTGAAAAACTTGTAGTTTTAAGATAATGTTTTGTCATTCTCTGGAAAGAACTATAATACATTTATTGGAGCAATACACAATGGAAGCTTCAAAAGGACCTCAGACTCTCAGATCCCTGTCCTCAGAGGCAAGCTCAAATCCCCTAAGCTCTGTGATGCTGGCTCTCACCTGATGTGGAAGACTGCCGTGTGCTGGGGACCGGGCAACAATTAAATCCCAATGCTTTTAGCTGTAGTGATTCGTTCAGAAATTAAGAGTCCTTTTATGTCTATTTTGTTAAAATAAGCTTTACATATATGAATTTTAATGAGTTTCTTTAAAAATCTCAAAACACACAGACTCCATCCATTGCATTTCTAAGGCAGGCACTATGTGAGAACTGGGACATTCTATATGTTTTTCCAAAATATATTATTTTCTATCAACAATTTTCTATACCATCCTTTGGTTAGAAATATTTATCTTACAGAATTAATGTGCCACATTGTTAAAAACAAACTTTTCAAGAAGAACAAAGCTTGTCATTATCTAAAGAGAAAATGGGGAAGCTTTATGAATACAAATTAATTTCTGGGCACAACTGCTCTCAAAATGAAATGAATTCACAAAGTATACCTTAGAATTCATCATCTGAAGGTGCCTAGGTTGGTTTACATATTAATCCACTTCCCTGCATCTCCCTTTGTGACCTAGCAGGCTTTAGTTATGCACAATGGCATAGAGACAAGCTGCTGAAAGGTCTGTTCTTTTAAAATGTCACTCCACACTGTGCAATATGTTTTATTAAGGGTATTGGGAAACGTGCACGTCTGGTGGTGGATTTGCTTTTCTTTCTTCAGATGAAATTTGAACACAGGCATAATAGGGAAATTTGTTATTAAATTATAAAAGCAAAGTAAGCTGCAGCTAGGAGTCAGCCTCCACTCCAAACAGAGGACACCCCCCTCTCCAAATTCTCAGGGAGGTTGACCATTACACTCTAGGGTGGCCACTGTCTGTGACCAAGAATCACATGGTCAAGACTGAGCACTGCTTCAGAAAAACCTAATTAACAAGCTAGGCAGGAAAGTTTCCAGGTCACCAAAAAGGAAACCTTTTTTAAAGCAATAAAAATGATGCATTAACACTACTCATTTTACATGCTTTCACATAGATAATAATATGCAGGCAAAATCATTTGATTGAAAGCATAATGATTACTAAGAGTAAAACCCTGAAATAGCATAGATTGCCTAAAAGGTGGGTGCTAGACTTTCCACCCAGCATTAGACCATATGATTCTTCCTGTCTTAGTAAAAGCCTTCTTTTCACTAAGTAGTTTTTGATACCTAATGAACATGTATGACTCCTATTTCCTCTACTAAATTACCATGACTTCTAGTATACTAGGCTTTGGCATCCTACCTAACTGTGATGGATTCCAAACTCTGTTGTTAGTACTCAAGTGCTATATGCCTTCATGGTATATGGCTTTATGTAATTTCATCAACTTCAGTTTTTTTAAACGAACTCCTCTGAAGGCACAGCTCAGAAGAGGATCCTGTGTTTGGGTTTTAATGTCTTACAGTTGCTGTCTTGAAATTCATTATAAACTTATCTTTGGATTTGTGACTTAAGTGAAGTCTGATAAGACAATGGCATGTGCACCAAAGACTTGGAGCCTCAGTGCAGGTATAGTCCTACCTCCCACAATCTCCACACATCCCTAGAACTGATTCTCAGCTGCCTGATCCCTCTTCCTCTGCCACCCACATCTCACCTAGGTTTTCCCTCCTATCCCTGCCTTGTGACCACTGCTATCTTCTGCCCCTGGAGAAGCTTGGGCAGGCTAAGGCCAGGTTGGGCTTTTATGCCCAATGCAATAAGCTTCAGGGCAGGGCTCTAGGTTCTGGGCACCTGTTAGAGTATACATGTATCACTTGAGTATCCTTATGCCCAAGCCAGGACAATATTCAACAGCAAATAAAACCGCTATGACAACTTGAGAGAAAGACACTGATAAAGAAAAGGAAAAGCTTTTGTTCTGATTTTTGAGCAAGGGGGTCCACGGTTTTTATCTTGCACGTGGTCCCACAAATTATGTAGCCAGCCCTATTGGTATGATCTTATACAAATTATGAAATATTTATAAGCCTCAGTTCCCTCATCTGGAAAATGGGAATTATAATGACACCTATGATATAGAATTACAATGGGAATTCAATTTTTAAAAAATGCATATAAACGGTTTAACATAGAACCTGGTACACTGTAGAGGACTGAAAACATTTATTATTCATTTCAAAAGTTATGAAATAAATAAGAACATGCTTTGATTTCATATACTTATGTAGACAACAGAGAAGAAACTTGTAATTTAGTGTATCTCAGGAAATCCAGGGTCTATATTAAGAACACTTTGGATCATAATTTCTCAAAGTTAAACATACCAAATTAAAATGCATGTTTTCAGGTAAGGCCTTGGCATGTAAAGAAAAACCAAGAGAATCTTTCATTAAAAAAAATAAATTATAAAATGTTGAAAACATCCACATGGAGAGAACTTTTGGCACAGTCTATGGATTTAGGGTATTCGACCTCAAAGGACTGTCAGTGCAGCCCTTGGTTACAATGACCACTCCATTATCTATGATTAGAAGACACCAAGGAAGGTGTTCCAGCCTGTACTGTAACTAGTCTCTAAAAGCAATTTGTACAGAGAAAATGAACAGTGGAGGAGAGGATAAAGAAAAAGAAGGCTATAGAAGATTTGGTAATTTCCATGTAGAAAAGCAAAGTGTTAACTTTAAAGTTTTGTAGGAGGCTGGGCATTATGATTCATGCTGTAATCTCAGCACTTTGGGAGGCTGCGAGAGCAAATCGCTGGAGCTTCGGAGTTCAAGACCAAGCTGGGCAACATGGCAAAACCCATCTCTACAAAAAATTAAAATTAAAATAAAAAAATTAGCCTGGCTTGGGGAGGTGGAGGTTGCAGTGAGCCGAGATCGCGCCACTGCACTCCAGCCTGGGCGACAGAGCAAGACTCCGTCTCAAAAAACAAACATACAAACAAACAAACAAATTAGCTGGGCTTCATGGCGCATGCCTGTAGTCCCAGCTACTCAGGAGGCTGAGGTGACAGAATCACCTGAGCCCAGGAAGTCGAAACTGCAGTGAGCTGTGATTGTGCCGCTGCACTCCAGCCTGGGCCACAAGGCAAAACCCTGTCAGAAAGGAAAGAAAGAGAGAAAGAAAGAGAGAAAGAGAGAAAGAAGGAAGGAAGGAAGGAAGGAAGGAAGGAAGGAAGGAAGGAAGGAAGGAAGGACAGAAAGAGAGAAAGAGAAAGAAAGAAAGAAAGAAAGAAAGAAAGAAAGAAAGAAAGAAAGAAAGAAAGAAAGAAAGAAAGAAAAAGAAAGGAAAAGAAAAGAAAAGAAAAGAAATGGGAGGGCACGTGGGGGTTGGGGGCAGGGTGTGGAATTAATCTGGTAAGTCTAAGTATGCCCCCTACTGAATCTCAGAAGTCATTTCATACTCTATCTCATCCTGAGTATTTCCTTATTTAAAACAAAATTCTCCTTTGCCCCTCAGGAGAACACATTATTCTCTTCAGAGGCATTCAGAATAAACCAGACCCTCAGGCAAGACATTCTCCTGCAGCAAAATCAGGGCAACCAACTGGTTCCTGGAGTTCTAGGTTCTCCCTGCTTCTTGGTCAGCTGCCCCTTAAGGATACTCTACAGGCAAACTCAACATGCAACTAAAGTTGACTCCTTTTTCATTCTCATTCCCACTGTTGCTAGACTACAATAGTCAGAAGATGGAATCAACTATTTCATAATCTCAATTTATACATGAAGCTCATAAAAAATACCTAGTGTGAAAAAAGCAAGAAAAACAGAATGAAAGGACTTTGCCCTAGAACACATTTGAGATAAAGAAGAATAAACGTAATATTCAGAAATTATTTTCCCTGAAGTCAAATTAATGTCTTATTGAAATTCATATCTCCTAGTTTGATGCTTTCAGATGTATTGATTTTACTTTTGTTATATTTCTGTGTTCTGCCTACTAATTGTAAACACATATCTCTCTTTTAGATTTTTAAGGTCTTGAAATACAAGTATCATTTTTCTTCTCCAGCGTTATTGAGATATGCTTGAGAAATTCAAATTGTATACATTTAATGTGTATAACTTGATGCTTTGATACATGCATACATAGTGAAATGACTATCACAATTGAGCTAATTAATATATCCATCACCTCATACTGTTACCATGTTTTGTGTATGGTAAGAACACTTAAGATATACTCTCTTAGCAAATTTCAAGTATATAATACACTATTATTATCTATAGTCACATGATGTACATTTGATCTTCATAGCTTATCCATCCTGTATAATTATAACTTTTCTACTGTACTGTGTTCTTTGCAGTAACACATTGCTTTCTATAATCACAAAAAAAGCTGGGGAATGCTTATATAATCACGCCACTGCACACCAGCCTGGTGACAGAATGAGGCTCCGTCTCAAAAAAACAACAACAGCAACAACAACAACCCCAGCATCACTTCTGTGATATTCCTGCCAGAAATACATAACCTGAATCTATTTGTGAGGAAACATTAGACAAACATAAACTGAAGAACATTCTCCAAAATTACTGGTCTGTATTCTTCAAAACTTTCAAGATCATGAATGTTATGGGAAGACTGAAGACTAAGAGGGAATGACAAGTGAATTCAGTGTGTGCTTCTGACTGACATCCTTTCGCTTTTACAAAGGACATTATTGAGACAAATGGTGGAACTTGTCTAATCTACAATATGTATCTATACTCTAATGAGGGTAGTAATGTATCTATAAATTTTTGATTATGATTATGTTGGAAAATATCCTTTTGAGAGAAATAAATACTAAAATATTTGGGAGTGATGGGCATCATGTTGGCAAATTACTCTCAAATGTTTCAGGGAAAAAAAAAGAAATTATAGTATAGACATATGATGGAATACTGTGCCTCAGGAAAAGCAGGGGGAGTTCTGAGGAAATATAATGACATAAGATAATACTTTTATATATGTTAAGTGAAAAAGGTTGGATAGAGAATTATATTTGAACTAACTTATACATTGTTCTTTTAACAATCCTAGGTTTAATTTTGTAGATGCAGGGTGTTTAGTGTTAGGGATACAAAGAGGAATGAGACATGATTTCTTAGATTTCACTTAGAAATCTTATTGGGAGGGGTGGACAAACCTTTAAATAGATTTTATAATAAGATGAGTTAAGTAAGTGGGGAAAATATGGATATCATGGGAGAGGAAGCTGGCCTAGTCAGGATAAGCAGGATAGGAAGGCTCCCCAGAGGAAATGTGATGTCCATTATTTTAAAAATATGGAAATGTTATGCAAGAATGAGCTAAATATCCAATCTGTTAGAGGCTATTTTTATGTGTGGAATTCTAAGTATTTTTTACTTTTTATTTTATCTATTTTCTAAGTTTTTAACAATAAACATATTTTTTATAAGCAGAAAAATAACTTCTTGAAGATTTATAACAAATTATTATTTAGGATTTATCTAATGTGCATGGTAAGTTGGTTAGTATGCAGAACACTGAGATAAAACTCTTCTTGATTTTAAAAAACATAGTAATTTTTAAATAACATAATAGCTATTAATTTTTATCACCTTCTTCCATTGTTCAATAATATTTTAGTTAAGAATGTTTTATAAACCTCACCTCTCTGACTGTATCTCATCTTGGTAGATATATGGTAATACAGAAAAGCACTAGCTCACAACATAATGGGTCTTATTTGGATGCCTTATAATCACGCATGGCCATTTTTCCTGTAATCATAGTTATGGTGCACCAGCAGGCAACTAAGTAGTCTAACAAGACCTAAAGTCATTCAGTCATTCATCACTTATATTCAACAAATATTGTAGTGACAAACGTTACACATTTTGGAAGGAAACTTTTCATGGAGTTATGTGATCATAGACTACATAGCATGTAGATTTTACTTGCCTTTCTTATTGGTTCTCTTTTTATTTAGTCTTTCCCTCTTTTGCCTTTTCCTTGACACATGTGTAAGGCTAATTTTCATAGTTATTAAACCACAAATTACCAAGAAATCATGTTTAAAATATTTACAGTCTTCTATGTGTAATGGTGATGTGCAAGTTCAAGGTAATGGAGTGACCTGCGTTATTTGTGAAATCAAAAATGACAGAGGCACACTAAGACCTTAAGCAAAAACCAGGGTGAGCATGAAGATGAGACATCTATAATGCTGTCAGTTTAAAAGCAACTAAATCAGAAGATGGAGGGAAGAGGAGCAGGAAGAGGAGGGAGAAAATTGGAAACTTTAATTTCAACTCCAGTCATTTCTTTACCACCTGTAATGAGTCTGACTCATCCCCCATATCTTTGTAACGTGTTTGATAAAGTCAAATTGTAATGTGTTTGATAAAGTCAAATAGCTCCTTTAAAGAAAATATAATTCCATTTAATTAAGAAGACCTATTTTAATAGCTAGCACTTTGATTCATGTGGTGCTCACAGCTCCCAACATATTGAACACCACTGCTCATTAGGAAACTCTTTAAAAAGTCATTTAGTGCAGACAGTGTCTTCTGCTTAGCAAATGCAAACCTATAATTCAGGCTCAACATAATTATAATATTATTCACAAACTCAAAAAAAATTGTAAACATCCAAAAAAGTTAAGCTTATATGTGTAAGATCACTGGACACAGACCAGAAGAGATATTTTAAATAGACAACAGTCGCCATTTTCATGTGCCTTGCTTTTATTAGGAATGTATGCACTGGCAAGAACCTAGCATTATCTAGAGGCAATAAGTCAAAGCTTCACTGTGTCTGCTCCTGCAAATGGCTTTAGGTTTAAACATTTATTTTATTGATAAAAACAAAAGTCTAAACTCCAGAAGTCTAAATTAAATTTAATGACATATCCTCTTTGCTGAGCCTTTGTCTTACCCAGACAGGTTAAAGTTTAAGGGGAATGATTTGATCTCATTACCTGGCTGCTGCTGGCTGCTGGTGGTTATCACAGATGGTGAGGGTGTTTTTATCACAGAGCCCTGCAACCTGAGACCCTGAACAAAGTGCTCCCCACCACCCCACCCAGCCTCCAGGTGGTCATTTTGGGTAATTAATACCCTGGGGAAAGTTCAGCTCCTAAAAAATATAATAGCCTGGTAAGCCTGCCAAGGAAGTGGCCCTTTCCATAACAATTATATTTTTTACCTTTTTCCTGTCAGTATTATAGCACAGTAGGCAAGAGATTTGTTTTCTAACAGAGGGGCCAATTAGAAGGTGAGTATTCTGTGCAGTTTTTCCTACTGGTAATGCTGACAAAACCCAGGTATTCTTTATTGAGAGCGTTCAATTTTGTTTATCACTTACCACTTTGTGGATTTCCCTGAGAACGGCTTATGCACTTTAAGTGCCTAATTTGCACCATACGCAAAAGCTAGCAAGGCTAATCATTGATATGCTGTAAGAAGGAGAATTTGCTTAGTACTTAACAAACAGACTATAATAGATTCTCTAGTTGCAAAGAGCTAATTGTATCAGGGACACCATTTCCAAATTAGAAAGCCATTATTTTTGAATCCCAATTTGGCATAATATATTAGCCACTGAAGTGTCTTATGAGATGTGAGTAAGGCATATTAGGCATTTGTGAAGGGCTGTTAGCTAGACCTTTCAGAATGAACCATCCTATGGCAATAACTCCCATTTATTAAGCACTCACTACTCCTAGCAAATATTATATAATCTTTATAGAAAACCCATGCAATACTTATTATTATCCTTAACTTTGTAAAGAAAGAAATGGAAGATTAAATAATTTGCACAAATTTACAAAGTTGGGTGTGGAATGTGATTAAACTCAGGTAATTTCAATAAAATTTTTCTTCCTTTACTAAACTGGTGGTTCTTAAATTTTAGCATGCATGACAGTCACATAGAGGGCTTATTAAGACACAGATTTCTGAATCAGACCTCAGAGCTTACGATTCAGTAGGTCTGGGCTAGAACCCAAGAATTTGCATTTCTAACTAGTCATACCTGGATGATGCTGATGTTGCTGATTGGGAACCACACTTTGAGATCCAGTGTTCTCTATCATGCTGCCTCTCCTAAAAAGTACATTGAATTCAGGGAAATTGGCTAATAGATGTCAAAGTTAAAAAGCATTTGAAAAAATTTAACATCTTCCTGTGATAAAAACTCTCAACAAACTAGATCTCAATGTTCATATTCAATGGTAAAATCTGAAAACTTTTCCTCTAAGTTCAGGGACAAAACTAGTATGCCAACTCTCACCACTTTTTTTTTTTTCTGAGATGGAGTCTTGCTCTGTTGCCCAGGCTGGAGTGCGTTGGTGCAATCTCGGCTCACTGCAATCTCTGCCTCCTGGGTTCAAGCAATTCTCCTGCCTCGGCCTCCTGAGTAGCTGGGATTACAGGCACACACCAATGCACTCAGCTAATTTTTGTACTTTTGGTAAAGAAGGGGTTTCATCATGTTGGCCAGGCTGGCCTCGAACTCCTGACCTTGTGATCCACCTACCTCAGCCTCCCAAAGTGCTGGGATTACAGGCGTGAGCCACCTTGCCCGGCCAACTCTCACCACTTCTATTTAATATAGTACTAGAAGTCCTATCCAGAGAAATTAGGCTAAATAAATAAATAAATAAAGATACAAAAGGCTTGTGAATCAGAAAAAAAGAAAATGAAGAAGATACAAATAAATAGAAAGACACCTTGTGTTCATGGATTAGAAGAATTAATATTGTAAAAATGTTTATACTACCCAAAGTAATTTCTACCAAAAGCAATCCCTACCAAATCGCAATGACCTTTTTCACAGATACAGAAAAAAATCCTAAAATTTGTATAAAACTACAAAGGACCCAAAATAGCTAAAGCAATCTTAAGCAGGAAGAACAAAGCTGCAGACACCATACATCCTCTTTCAAATTATATTATAAAGCTACAATAATAAAGACAGTGTGTTACAGGCATAAAAACAGGCATATAGAACAATGAAACGGAACAAAGAGCCCAGAAATAAATATACACATTTATGGTTAACAGATCTTTCACAAGGATACAAGAACATAAAATGGGGAAAGAATAGTCTCTTCAATAACTGGTACTGGAAAAGCTGGATATTTACGTGCAAAAAATAAAATTAGACCCTTATTTTACAATGTATTAAAAAATAACTAAAAATGGATTAAAGACTTAACCATAAGACCTGAAACTATAAAACCACACAGGCAAAAAGCTTCTTGACATTGAGTTAGGCAATGAATTTTTTGGATATTACCTCAAAAGCATAGGCAACTAACACAAAAATAAACAAATGGATTGCATTAAACTAAAACACCTCTATACAGCAATGAAAACAATCAACGGAGTAAAAAGACAACTTACAGAATAGGAGAATATATTTGTAAACCACACATCTGACACACAGTTAATATCCAAAATATTTAAGTAACTCAAGCAATTCAATAGTAAGAAAACAAATAACTCAATTTAAAAATTAGCAGACATGAATAGATATTTCTCCAAAGAAGACACACAAATGGCCAACAATTATAAGAAAAAAGGCCAGCATCAGTAATCATCAGGTAAATTCAGATTAAAACCACATTGAGATATTGTCTCATTTTGTTAGAACGGCTATTATCAAAAAGGTAAATGATAAGTGTTGGCAAGAATGTGAAGAAAAGGGAACCCTTGTACACTGCTGATGGGAATGTAAATTAGCACAGCCATTGTGGAAAACAGGTTGGAAGTTCTTCAAAACATTAAAACTAGAACTACACAACCCACCAATCCCATTACTGGATATATATCCAAAGGATCTGAAATCAGTATGTCCAAGACATATCTGCATTCTCATGCTTATTACAGCATTATTCAACACAGCCAAGATACGGAATCAACCTAAGTGTCCATCAACAGATGAATAAAGAAAATGTGGTATATATACAGAGTGGAATAGTATCCAGCCTTAAAAAATGAAATTCTGTCATTTGGAGTTCACGTGGATGAACTTGGAAGACATTATGTTAAGCAAAATAAGCCAGGCACAGAAAGACAGATATCGCATCATTTTACTTATTTGTGGAATCTAGGAAAGTCAACTTATAGAAACAGAGAGTAAAATAAAATGATAATTACCAGAGGCCAAGGGCGAGGGGCAGGATTAAGGAGATGTTGGTCAAAGGACAAAACATTTCAATTACACAAGAGAAATAAGTTCAAGAGCTCTATTGTACATTGTGGTGACTGTAGTTAATAACAATATATCATAAACTTGAAAATTGCTAAGAGAGTAGATTTCAAGTGTTCTTCCAACCACAAAAAAATTATAAATATGTGAGGTAATGCATATGTTAAGTAGCCTGATTTAGCTATTCCACAATGTCTGTTTATATCAAAACATCATATTGTACACCATAAGTATATATCATTTCTAATTGTCAATTAAAATTAAAATAATTGCAGACTTTTAAAAAAATTTCAAAATGCGAAAAATGTGTGAATTCTGAATTTCCACCTACTAAGTTTTAATCCCAGTTTTATCACTTATTAGTTGTATAATCATCAATTAATAAATTTTACTGTTTTATTTTTGTTTTATCTTTTAATTTATATTTTTATATTTTTGTTTTTTCATATATGTTTAGAAACAGGGTCTTGCTCTGTCACCTAGGCTGGAGTGCAGTAACAGGATCATAGCTCACTGCAGCCTCAATCTTCTGGGCTCAGTTGATCCTCCCTCCTCATCCTCCAGAGTAGCTAGGACTACCACTGTTTGCCACCATGACTGGCTAATTTTTTTTATTGTTTGTAGAGATGGGGGCCTCAATAAATTGCCCAGGGTGGTCTTGAACTCCTGACCTGAAGTGATCCTCCCAAAGTACTGAGATCATAGGAAGAAATAGTAAATATGTCAGAATTGTTTTGATAATGATTATACGGTATGATCCATTTGAAATATCACAGTTGCTGTTCTATAATAATAAGTACTTTATAATGGTCAGCCATTATTAATATTATGCATGAAGTTTATCTGTATTTTGTATTATTTAGACTACTTTAATTATTTTATTAGATTAGAATCCCAAAGAACATCCATATTTGAGGTCTCTGACTATTATTAATAAATTGCTTTCCAACTAGGTTAGATCAACTTACATTGCAGCAGCTCTTTCTGCTCAGTCCTGAGGAGGTGTGGGTCACAATGGACAGGGCTGGACCAGGTCTCCCATCGCTGTGAATTTTTATTTTGTAAAATTAAGAATAGGGAATTATAGACTGCATCAATTGATTATCTCACTATGCCTTAATTATAATTAGTGTCAAATAAATACTTTTATAGTTTACTGTCATACCAAAGTCTGAGAAACAATGCCAACATTCATTGCACTTGCTGAGAAATAAAAAACAGTAGGATGAGGATTATTGTCAATTCTTAAATATCCTGTATTTAACAGATTCTGAGTGTTATAGATTTTACATAATTTTTTCCTTGCATTTTCTGTCTTACTGATTTTTCTGCTTTACACCAAATATTATTTATTATGATCATTAGTGAAAGGAAAGGAAATTTACTTTTCCCAAAGCAATTTTAAAAAATGTTTAGTACAGGAGTAGGCAGCTGGAAAAGAATGAGCAATGGTAGATTTGCTAGTTCTTAAGATTCCCACTGATTCTAAGTAAACTATAAATTTCAAGAAATTCTGTTTCTTAGGCTATTTGTAAATTATGATATCTCAAATAAGCCTACCTTGTCTCAATCAAAAATTCTTATTCCTATCCACATATTTCAAATACTTGCTGTATTAGTCCATTTTTCACGCTGCTGATAAAGACATACCCAAGACTGGAAAGAAAAAGAGGTTTAATTGCACTTACAGTTCCACATGGCTGGGGAGGCCTCAGAATCATGGTAGGAGGCAAACGGCACTTCTTACATGGTGGCAAGAAAAAAATGAGAAAGAAACAAAAGTGGAAACCCCTGATAAACCCATCAGATCTCATGAGACTTAATTGCTATCACAAGAATAGCACGGGAAAGTCTGGCCTTATTCAATTGCCTCCCCCTGGGTCCCTCCCACAATACATGGGAATTCTGGGAGACACAATTCAAGCTGAGATTTGGATGGGGACACAGCCAAACCATTTCATTCTACCCCTAGCCCCTCCAAATCTCATGTTCTCGCATTTTTAAAACCAATCATGCCTTCCCAATGGTCCCCCAAAGTCTTAACTCATTTCAGCATTAACTCAAAAGTCCACAGTCCAAAGTCTCATTTGAGACAAGGCAAGTCTCTTCTGTCTAGGAGCCTGTAAAATCAAAAGCAAGCTAGTTACTTCCTAGATACAATAAGAGTACAGATATTAGGTAAATACAGAAGTTCCAAATGGGAGAAATTGTCCAAAACAAAGGGGTTACAGGGCCCATGCAAGTCCAAAATCCAAGGGGGCAGTCAAATTTTAAAGCTCCAAAATGATCTCATTCAACTCCAGGTCTCACATCCAGGTCATGCTGATGCAAGAGGTGGGTTTCCATGGTCTTGGGCAGCTACGTCCCTGTGGCTTTGCAGGGTACAGCCTCCCTCCTGGCTGCTTTCATGGGCTAACATTGAGCATCTGCAGCTTTTCCAGGTGCAAAGTGCAAGCTGTTGGTAGATCTACCATTTTGGGGTCTGGAGGACGATGGCCCTCTTCCCACAGCTCCACTAGGCAGTGCCCCAATAAGGACTCTGTGTGGAGGATCATACCCCACATTTCCCTTCTGCACTGTCCTAGCAGAGGTTCCCCAGGAGCATCCCGCCCCTGCAGCAAACTTTTGCCTGGGCATCCAGGCATTATCATACATCTTCTGAAATCTAGGTGGATGTTCCCAAACCTCAATTCTTGATGTCTGTCCATCTGCAGGCTCAAGACCATATGGAAGATGCCAAGGCTTGGGGCTTCCACTCTCTGAAGCCATAGCCCAAGCTCTACATTGGCCCCTTTCAGCCACAGCTGGCACAGCTGGGACACAGGGTACCAAGTCCCTAGGCTGCATACAGCACAGGGACCCTGGGCCCAGCCCACAAAACCACTTTTTTCTCCTGGGCCTCCAGGTCCGTGATGGGAGGGGCTGCTGTGAAGTTCTCTGATATGCCCTGAGACATTTTCCCCATGGTCTTGGAGATTAACATTAGGCTCCTTGCTACTTATGCAAATTTCTGCAGCCGGCTTGAATTTCTCCCCAGAAAATGGGATTTTCTTCTCTATTGCATAGTCAGACTGCAATTTTTCCAAAGTTTTATGCTTTGCTTCCTTTATAAAACTGAATGCCTTTAACAGCATACAAGTCACCTCTTGAATGCTTTGCTGCTTAGAAATTTCTTCCACCAGATATCCTAAATCATCTCTCTCAAGATCAAATCTCTAGGGCAGGGGCAAAATGCCGCCAGTCTCTTTGCTAAAACATAACAAGAGTCACCTTTGCTCCAGTTCCCAACAAGTTCCTCATCTCCATCTGAGATCACCTCAGCTTGGATTTTATTGTCCATATCACCATAGAATTTTGGGCGAAGCCATTCAACAAGTCTGTAGAAAGTTTCAAACTTTCCCATGTTTTCCTGTCTTTTTTGAGCTCTTCAAACTGTTCCAATCTCTGCCTGTTATCCAGTTCCTAAGCTGCTTCTACATTTTCAGGTATCTATTCAACAATGCCCCACTCTACTGATACCAACTTACTGTATTAGTCCATTTTCATGCTGCTGATAAAGACAACTGGAGACTGGGAAGAAAAGGAGGTTTAATTGGACTTACAGTTCCATGTGGCTGGGGAAGCCTCAGAATCATGGTGGGAGGCAAAAGACACTTCTTACATAGCAGCAGCAAGAAAAAATGAGGAAGAAGCAAAAGCGGAAACCCCTGATAAACCCATCAGATCTCATGAGACTTATTCACTATCACTTGAATAGCATGGGAAAGACTGGCCCCCATGATTCAATTATCTCTCCCTGGGTCCCTCCCAAAACATGTCAGAATTCTGGGAGATACAATTTAAGTTGAGATTTGGGTGGGGACACAGCCAAACCATATCACTTGTCATGCTCAGAGCAAGCTTAACTATTCAGAGGATAGTCCTCAAGCATGGGAGACTATGAGAAATGAACACTGTATTTAAAGAAAAAAGAAGAAAAAGACTTCAGAAAAATATGTAATCAAAATATTTCAGACAGACTATCACATTTTTATAACATGTCAAGTTACTTCATCCATAATTCACAGTGATAGAACATAAAGAAATAATTCATATCTTAAAGGCAACTAAATTCTGAAAAAACACCTAAAATTTCGGTTTGGTTCTAAGATTTCCATTTCAGTTCAGACATGAGTGGTTTGCCAAAATTAAAAAAAAAAAATCTTTATCATTTTGTTTATACAGGGTGAATGCTGCAGTAGAAGCAATCAATAAGTAAAAGCCCTTAACTTTAGTTAGCTTTCTTTTATCAATTTCAGAGATAACTAAAGAAAGCTTCTGCTGACCCAACTTTACTGGTTCAAGTGGAATAAGTCAGTTGTACTATATATAAACCTTCATTGGGAGCACAGCCTCTATTCCTAGACTGATAGATTCTCATTAAATGAATATTTTTCTTGCCTTTGACACAATGATCTATACCAACAAATATCAGAGCTTCTCTAAATTGAGACTGCAGACATCTCAATATTGCCCATTGTATTTTTCCATTCAATCCAATGAAAATTATTATCCCTATAAGTCACATAGGTTTACTTGAGGTCATCAAGGCCTACTTTTCTCATTTCTTTTTTTGTTAATGTCTTCAGTATATCAGATCTTTCAAGTTTCTGCCACTTTTCCTGAAACACTGTGTTATAACTATTTAATGTATGTATATGTGTGTACATGCATATTAGCTATGTTTTTTCTTCTAACCAATAGCTGTCTTTTAAGATTATATCTGAGTCCTTTAAAATGACTGTTTCCAAAGAAAAGACTCAAGGAAAAGCTGTGTTCATCCTAGGGTTCAGGAAAGCAATAAAAATACAAGGCTATTTGAGGATTCAAAATTAAACTCAGTAGTTTAACACAATTATTTTGGAGATGCCTCACATAGTAGAATAAATGCGTTAAAAAGCATCTACATACAATAATAAATATAATTTTTGCGGTACAAATATTTGAAGACTTTTCATATTTTTGCTTTTGAAATTATTTGGCTATGAGTAACTTTCTTAAGCTTGGTTATAATGTTTCTGGCAACCAATATGGATAGTAGGAAATTTTTGTGATGTGGAAAATATCTCATCTTCTAGGAGTTATGTAACGGCACAGATCATGAGTTTAAAACTTGATAAGACAGTTTTTTTTCAAGATGGTAGATTAGAGGCTTTTAGCCTGCCTCAACCACTTGGAAATAGCAAGATAGTGCATAAAGACCAACTCTGTGAACTTTAAATCAAGAAGGAAAATGGAAATTTCCTTCACAGAATTGTGAAGGACACCATTGATCCAAAAAATGAGAATGCCAGCAAACGGCCCTTGTGATGGCATCTGGCTACAAAAATGAGTAAAGTCCTAGTACATGAGAGAGGAAGAGCACCTCCCTCCGTGACTCACCTTTCCACTTGGGATCCAAGGGCCCAGGCCAAGGGAGAGCACTTTATTTTCCCCAAACACTGGAGCTGTCTTGGGAAGAGGCTTGAACATTCTGTGAGGGAAAAACACTGGGTAAAGCTTCAGATATTTTTCCCAATCCAGGACTGAGAGAAGAAAATTATTTTTATGGTAGGTGCATACAGTCGGCCATTCTGTGGCAATCCGCCAGCATGGCCATGCAGGCATTTTAATCTCTGGACAGGGACTGGAGCACCAGCTCTGGAGCAGGGTAGGGACCTCCATAGCCCTAACTGTGGAAAGCGTCTTAGCACTAGAGGCAGGAATTGTGCTCTTCCCTATTACAAGCCTGGGGTGGGAAGACAACTGCTATAGCTGCAGTGTCTCCTAGGCAATGAGACAACTAGAGCCAATTTAGTGACCTGGAACCAGTCTGCATGTGCCATTGACGGTTGTCTCAGCCTGTTCCCCTGTGATCATGGTACATTGGGGCTGTCTTTGCTTCACCCTAAAGCAGGTCTCCAGACATTCTGAGCACCCATGCATTGGGTTCAGCAGCCTGAGGTGCCCCACTCTTACTGGATATAGATCATTGTGCAACAAAGCCCTCTCCACTCCATGCCCAGGCAGATTTCTAGATCTCAGAGCACCAGCTCACCTGGATCAGCAGCCTGAGCCACCACATCTTACCTTCCAACAGAAGTGCATAGGGATATAGGGGCAAAGCCTTGCTCAGCATTCCCAATTGTTGCACACCCTAAGAGGGAAAGGGAAAGAAAAGAAAAAAAAAAAAAAACAATACTCTCAGGCCACGGTGGAATGAAAATAGAAATCAATATCAAGAATAACCCCATAAACAAGCAATTACACAGAAATTAAACAACTTGTTCCTGAATGACTTTTGAGGAAAAAAATTAGCTAGAAATCAAAAAATTCTTTGAAATAAGTGAAAACAATTATACAGCATATCACAATATCTGGGATACAGAAAAATCAGTGTTGAGAGGAAAGTTTATAATGCTAAAGGTCTACCTTGAAAAGTTAGATCTTATTTTAGCCATCTAACATCACATCTAGAGGACCTAGAAAAACAAGAACAAGCTAACCCCAAAGCTAGCAGAAGAAAAGAAATAACTAAAATCAGAGCAGAAATGAATGAAATTGAAATCCAAAGTTTCAAACAAAGAATCAACGCAACAAAAAATTAAAGGACAAACAAGATCAATAGATCTCTAACAAGATTAACAAGAAAAAAACAGACAGAAAATCCAAACAAACACAAGCAGTAATGGCACAAGTGACATTACAACCAAACCCACAGAAACACAGAAATACGAAACCTTCTCAGAGACTATTATGAGCACTTCTATGCACACAAACTATAAAAATTTAGAGTAAATAGATAAATTCCTGGAAACACACAATCTCCCAAGATTGAAACAGGAAGAAACTGAAATACAAAACAGGTCAATATTGAGTCCTGAAATTGAATCAGTAATAAAAAACCTACTGTGATGTTTAATACTGAGTGTCAATTTGATTAGATTGAAGCATACAAAGTATTGATCTTGGGTATGTCTGTGAGGGTGTTGCCAAAAGAGATTAACATTTGAGACAATGGGCTGGGGAAGGCAGATCCACCCTTAATCTGGTGAGCACAATCTAATCAGCTGCCAGCAAATATAAAGCAGGCAAAAAAAAACGTGAAAAGGAAAGACTGGCCTAGCATCCCGGACTACATCTTTCTCCTGTGCTGGATGCTTCCTGCCCTCGAACATTGGACCCCAAGTTCTTCACTTTTGGGGCTCGGACTGGTTCTCCTTGCTCCTCAGCCTGCAGACAGTCTATTGTGGAACCTTGTGATCATGTAAGTTAATACTTTATATATATATCTCCATCCTATTAGTTCTGTCCCTCTAGAGAACCCTGACTAATACACCTACCAATCAAGAAAATCCCCAGACCAGATGAACTCACAGGTGAATTCTACTAGGTGTACAAGGAGGAGCTGTACACCTAGTAGAATTACTGTACACCTAGTAGAATTATTAGAGCATTACTCTGATACCAAAACTTGGCAAAGACATGATGAAAAAAAAAAACATAGGCCAATATCCCTGATGAACATAGACACAAAAATCTTCAACAAAATATTAGCAAACTGAATTTAACAGCAATTTGAAAAGTTATTTCAACATGATCATGTAGGCTTCACTTCTGGGGTGCAAAGTTGGTTCAATATATGCAAATCAATAAATGTCATTCCACACATAGAGTTAAAAACCAAAGCCATATTATCATCTCCATAAACATGGAAAAAGCTTTCAATATAATTGAATATTCCTGCATGATAAAAACCCTCAACAAACTAGTCATTGAAGGAACATATCTCAAAATAATAAGAGCCATCTATGACAAACCCACAGCCAACATCATACTTAATAGGCAAAAGTTGAAAGCATTCCCTTGAGAACTGGAAGAAGACAAGAATGCCCACTGTCACTACTGCTATCCAACATAGTACTGGAAGGGCTAGGCAGAGCATTCAGTTAAGAGAAACAAATAAAAGGCATACGAATGGGAAATGAAGATGTCAAACAATCTCTCGCTGTGAATGATATGATTCTATACCTAGAAAACCCCCAAAGACTCCACTGAAAGGCTCTTGGGATTGATAAACAACTTCGATAAAGAAAGTTGCAGGATAAAAAAAAAAAATCAATGTACAAAAATCAGTACCATTTCTATATATTAATAATGTTCAAGCTTAGAGTCAAAATAAGAATGCAATCCCATTTAAAACAGACACACAAAAAATAAAATATCTAGGAATACATCTAACCTAGGAGGTGATAGATCTTTACAAGGAGAACTACAAAACACTGCTAAAAGAAATCAGAGATGACACAAACAAATGGAGGATATTTGATTGGAAGAATTAATATCATGAAAATGGCCATACTGCCCAATGAAATCTACAGATTCAATGCTATTCCTATCAAACTACCAACATCATTTTTCACAGAACTAGAAAAAGCTATTCTAAAACTCATATGGAACCAAAAAAGAGCCCAAATAGCCAAAGCAATCCTAAGCAAAAAGAACAAAGCCAGAGACATCACATTACCTGACTTCAAACTATACTATAAGGCTACAGTAACCAAAAATGGCAGTTGGCTGGTACAAAAACAGACTCATAGATGATTGGGACAGAATAGAGAAAATAGAATTAAAGCTTCACACCTACAACCATCTGAACTTTCACAAAGCAATAAAAGTAAGCAGTGGGGAAAGGACTTTCTATTCAATAAATGGTGCTGGGATAGCTAGCTAGCCATATGCAGAAGAATGAAACTGGACTGCTGCCTTTCACTATATAGAAAAATTATCTCAAGATAAATTAAACATTCATACGTAAGACCTCAAACTGTAAGAATCTTAAAAGAAAACCCAGGAAACGCCATTCTGGACGTTGACCTTGGGAAGGAATTTATGACTAAGTCCTCAAAAGCAATTGCAACAAAAACAAAAATTGACAAATGGGGCCTTATTAAACTAAAGAGCTTCTTCACAGCAATATAAACTATCAACAGAGTAAACAGACATCCTACAAAATGGAAGGAAATATTCACAAACTATGTATCAACAAGGGTATAATATCCAGAGCCTATAAGGATATTAAACAATTGAACAAATAAAAACCAAATGCCCATAATTAAAAACAGTCAAAAGACATGAACAGACATTTCTCAAAAGAAGGCACACAAGTGGCCAACAGACATATGAAAAAATGTCCAGCATCAGTAATCATCAGAGAAATGCAAATCAAAACCAAAATGAGATACCATCTTATACCAGTCAGACTGGCTATGATAAGAAAGTCAAAAAGCAATAGATACCAGCAAAGCTGTGGAGAAAAGGGAATTCTTATACACTGTTGATAAGAATGTAAATTAGTTCAACTACTGTGGAAAGCAGTTTGGCAATTTCTCAAAGAACTTAGAACTACTATTCAACTCAGCAATCTCATTACTCAGTATACAGCTATAAGAAAACAAATTGGGGAGGCTGGCAAGATGGCAGAATAGGAACAGCTCCCGTCTGCAGCTCCCAGCAAGACCAATGCAGAAGGTGGGTGATTTCTGCATTTCCAGCTGAGGTACCCGGTTCATCTCATTGGGACTGGTTAGAAAGCGGGTGCAGCCCATGGAAGGCAAGCAGGAGCAGGTGGGGAGCACTTCACCCAGGGAGCACAAGAGGTCTGGGAACTCCCTCCCCTCACCAAGGGAAGCTTGAGGGACCACACTGTGAGGGATGAAGCTATCCAGCCCAGATACTACGCTTTTCCCACGGTCTTTGCAACTCGCAGACAAGGAGATTCCCTCGGGTGCCTATACCAACAGAGCCCTGGTTTTCAAGCACAAAACTGAACAGCTGTTTGGGCAGACACCGAGATAGCTGCAAGAGTTTTTTTTCTGTACCCCAGTGGCACCTGAAATGCCAGCAAGACAGAACCATTCACTCCATTGGAAAGGGGGCTGAAGCTAGGGAGCCGAGTGGTCTTGCTGAGCGGAGCCCACCCCTATGGAGCCCAACATGCTAAGATCCACCAGCTTGCCATTCTCGCTGCCAGCACAGCAGTCTGAAGTTGACCTGGGACGCTTGAGCTTGGTATGGGGAGGGGCGTCCACCATTACTGAGGCTTGAGTAGACGGGTTTCCCCTCACAATGTAAACAAAGCCACCGGGAAGTTCGAACTGTCTGCAGAACCCACCAAAGCATGGCAAAGCCACTGTAGCCAGACTGCCTCTCTATATTTCTCCTCTCTGGGCAGGGCATCTCTGAAAGAAAGGCAGCAGCCCCAGTCAGGGGCTTATAGATAAAACTCCCATCTCCCTGGGACAGAGCACTTGGGGGAAGGGGTAGCTGTGGGTACAGCTTCAGCAGACTTAAATATTTCTGCCTGCAGGCTCTGAAGAGAGCAATGGATCTCCCAGCACAGCACTGCAGGTCTGCTAAGGGACAGACTGCCTCCTCAGGTGGGTCCCTGACCCCCATGCCTCCTGACTGAAAGACACCTCCCAGAAGGGGTTGAGAGACACCTCATAAAGGAGACCTCTGGCTGGCATCTGGCAACTGCCCCTCAGGGATGAAGCTTCCAGAGGAAGGAGCAGGCAGCAATCTTTGCTGTTCTGCAGCCTCTGCTGGTGATACCCAGGCAAACAGGGTCTGGAGTGGACCTCCAGCAAACTCCAGCAGCCTGCAGAAGAGGGACCTGACTATGAGAAAAAAAACCAAAAAACTAACAAACAGAAAGCAGTAGCATCAACATCAACAAAAAGGACCCTCACACAAAAACCATCTGAAGGTCACTAACATCAAAGACCAATGGTAGATAAATCCATGAAGATGAGAAAAAAACAGTGCAAAAAGGCTGAAAATTTCAAAAATCAGAATGTCTCTTCTTCTCCAAAGGATCACAACTCCGAGCCAGCAAGGGAAGAAAACTGGACAGAGAATGAGTTTGACGAATTGACAGAAGTAGGCTTCAGAAGGTGGGTAATAACAAACTCCTCCGAGCTAAAGGAACATGTTCTAACACAATGCAAGGAAGCTAAGAACCTTGATACAAGGTTACAGGAACTGCTAACTGGAATAACCAGTTTAGAGAAGAATATAAATGATCTAATGGAGCTGAAAAACACAGCATGAGAACTTCATGAAGCATACACAAGTATCAATAGCCAAATCAATCAAGCAGAAGAAAGGATATCAGAGACTGAAGATCAACTTTATGAAATAAAGTGTGAGGACAAGATTAGAGAAAAAAGAATGAAAAGGAATGAACAAAGTCTCCAAAAATTATGAAACTATGTGAAAAGACCAAACCTACGTTTCACTGGTGTACCTGGGAAGAATGGAACCAAGTTGGAAAACACTCTTCAGCATATTATCCAGAAGAACTTCCTCAACCTAGCAAGATAGGCCAACATTCAAATTTGGGAAATACAGAGAACACCACAAAGATACTCCTTGAGAAGAGCAACCCCAAGACACATAATTGTCAGATTCACCATGGCTGAAATGAAGGCAAAAACGTTAAGGGCAGCCAGAGAGAAGAATAGGGTTACCCACAGAGGGAAGCCCATCAGACTAACAGCAGATCTCTCTGCAGAAACCCTGTAAGTCAAAAGAGAGTGAGGGCCAATATTCAACTTTTATTTATTTATTTTTTTTTTTATTTTTTGAGACAGAGTCTCGCTCCATCACCCAGGCTGGAGTGCAGTGGCCCTATCTCGGCTCACTGCAACCTCTGCCTCCTGGGTTCAAGCGATTCTCCTGCCTCAGCCTCCTGAGTAGCTGCAATTACAGGCGCATGCCACCACACCCAGCTAATTTTCGTATTTTTAGTAGAGACAGGGTTTCACCATGTTTGTCAGGCTGGTCTCAAACTCCTGACCTCATGATCCACCGGCCTTGGCCTCCCAAAGTGTTGGGATTACAGGTGTGAGGCACTGCACCTGGCCTCAACATTCTTAAAGAAAAGAATTTTCAACCCAGATTTTCATATCCAGCCAAACTAAGCTCATAAGCAAAGGAAAAATAAAATCCTTTACAGACAAGCAAATGCTGAGGGATTTTGTTACCACCAGGCCTGCCTTACAAGAGCTCCTGAAGGAAGCACTAAATATGTAAAGGAAAAACTGGTACCAGCCACTGCAAAAACATACCAAAATGTAAAGACCATCGACACTATGAAGAAACTGCATCAACTAATGGGTAAAATAACCAGCTAGCATCATAATGACAGGATCAAATTCACACATAACGATATTAACCTCAAATGTAAATGGGCTAAATGCTCCAATTAAAAGACATAGACTGGCAAATTGGATAAACAGTCAGGAACCATCGTGTGTTGTGTTCAGGAGACCCATCTCATGTGCAAAGACACACATAGGCTCAAAATAAAGGGATGGAGGATTATTTACCGAGCAAATGGAAAGCGAAAAAAAAAAAAAAAGGCCAAAGTTGCAATACTAGTCTCTGATAAAACAAACTTTAAACCAACAAAGATCCGAAAAGACAAAGAAGGGCATTACATAATGGTAAACGCATCAATGCAACAAGAAGAACTAACTATCCTAAATATATATGCACCCAGTACAGGAGCACTCAGATTCATAAAGCAAGTTCTTGGAGACCTACAAAGAGACTTAGACTCCCACACAATAATAGTGGGAGATATTAGACAGATCAAGGAGACAGAAAATTAACAAGGATATTCAGGACTTGAACTCAGCTCCGCACCAACCCAACCTAATAGACATCTACAGAACTCTCCACCCCAAATCAACAGAATATACATTCTTCTCCGCACCACATAACACTTATTCTAAAATTAACCACATTATTGGAAATAAAACACTCCTCAGCAAATGCAATAGAACAGAAATCATAACAAACAGTCTCTCAGACCACAGGGCAATCAAATTAGAACTCAGGATTAAGAAACTCACTCAAAACCACACAACTAAATGGAAACTGAACAACCTCCTCCTGAATGACTACGGGGTAAATAACAAAATTAAGGCAGAAATAAATAAGTTCTTTGAAACCAATGAGAACAAAGACACAACATACCAGAATCTCTGGGACATAGCTAAAGCAGTGTTTACAGGGAAATTTATAGCACTAAATGCCCACAGGAGAAAGTGGGAAAGAGCTAAAATCAACACCCAAGCATCACAACTAAAAGAACCACAAAAGCAAGTGCAAACGAATTCAAAAGCTAGCAGAAATCAAGAAATAGCTAAGATCAGAGCAGAACTGAAGGAGACAGACACACAAAAAGCATTTCAAAAAATCAATGAATCCAGGAGCTGTTTTTTTGAAAATGTTAACAAAATAGACAGACTGCTAGTCAAATGAATAAAGAAGAAAAGAGAGAAGAATCAAACAGACACAATAAAAATGATAAAGTGGATATCACCACTGATCTCACAGAAATACAAACTACCATCAAAGAATATTATAAACATCTCAGTGCACATAAACTAGAAAATCTAGAAGAAATGGATAAATTCCTGGACACATACACCTCCCAAGACTAAACAAGGAAGAAGTCAAATCCCTTAATAGAGCAATAACAAGTTCTGAAATTGAGGCCTTAAATAGCCTCCCAACCAAAAAAAAAAAAAAAAAAAAAAAAAAAACCCAGGTCCAGAGGGATTCACAGCCAAATTCTGCCAGAGGTACTAAGAGGAGCTGGTACCATTCCTTCTTAAAGTATTCCAAACAATAGAAAAAGAAGGACTTCTTCCTAAATCATTGTATGAGAGCAGCATCATCCTTATAACAAAACCTGGTGGAGACACAACAAAAAAAGAAAATTCAGGCCAATATCCCTGATGAACATTTTTGCAAAAATCTTCCATAAAAGACTGGCAAACTGAATCCAGCAGCACATCAAAAAGCTTATCCACCACAATCAAGTTGGCTTTATTCCTGGATTGCAAGGCTGCTTCAACATATGCAAATCAATAAACATAATCCATCACATAAACAGAACCAATGACAAAAACCACATGATTATCTCAATAGATGCAGAAAAGGCCTTCGATAAAATTCAACACCACTTCATGCTAAAAACACTCAATAAAGTAGGTATTAATGGGACATATCTCAAAATAATAAGAGCTATTTATGACAAACCCACAGCCAATATCATACTGAATGGCCAAAGGCCAGAAGCACCGGCAAAAGACGAAGGATGCCCTATCTCACCACTCCTATTCAACATAGTATTGGAAGTTCTGGCCAGGGCAATCAGGCAAGAGAAAGAAATAGAGGGTATTCACAAGGAAGAGAGGAAATCAAATTGTGTCTGTTTGCATATTACATGATTGTATATTTAGAAAACCCTGTTGTCTCAGCCCGAAATCTCCTTTAGCTGATAAGCAACTTCAGCAAAGTCTCAGGATACAAAATCAGTGTGCAAAAATCACAAGCATTCCTATACACCAATAATAGACAAGCAGAGAACCAAATCATGAGTGAACTCACATTCACAATTGCTACAAAGATAATAAAATACCTAGGAATACAACTTACAAGGGAATGTGAAGGACTTCTTCAAGGAGAACTACAAAGCAATGCTCAAGGAAGTTAGAGAGGACATAAGCAAATGGAAAAACATTATTCCATGCTCATGGATAAGAAGAATCAATATTGTGAAAATGGCCATACTGCCCAAAGTAATTTATAAATTCAGTGCTATTTTCATCAAGCTACCATTGACTTTCTTCACTGAATTAGAAAAAAACTACTTTAAATTTCATATGGAACCAAAAAAGAGACTGTATAGCCAAGACAATCCTAAGCAAAAAGAACAAAGCTGGAGGCATCATGCTACCTGACTTTAAAATATACTACAAGGTTACAGTAACCAAAACAGCATAGTACTGTTACCAAAATAGATATATAGACCAATGGAACAGAACAGAGGCCTCAGAAATAAGACCACACATCTACAACCATCTGATGTTTGACAAACCTGACAAAAACAAGCAATGGGGAAAGGATTTCCCATTTACTAAATGGTGTTGGAAAAACTGCCTAGCCATATGCAGAAAATTGAAACTGGACCCCTTCCTTACACCTTATACAATAATTAACTCAAGATGGATTGAAGACTTAAATGTAAAACCTAAGCCATAAAAACCCTAGAAGAAAACCTAGGCAATACCATTCAGGACATAGGCATGGGCAAAGACTTCATGACTAAAACACCAAAAGCAATGACAACAAAAGCCAAAACTGACAAATGGGATCTAATTAAACTGAAGAGCTTCTGCACAGCAAAAGAAATTATCATCAGAGTGAACAGGCAACCTACAGAATGGGAGAAAAATTTTGCAATCTATTCATCTGACAAAGGGCTAATATTTGGAATCTACTAAGAACTTAAACAAATTTACAAGAAAAAAAAACCCTATCAAAAAGTGGGTGAAGGATATGAATGGACACTTCAAAAGGAGACATTTATGAGGCCAAAAAACATGAAAAAAAGCTCATCATCACTGGTCATTAGAGAAATGCAAATCAAAACCACAATGAGATATCATCTCATGCCAGTTAGAGTGGCAATCATTAAGAAGTCAGGAAACAACACATGCTGGAGAGGATGTGGAGAAATAGAGTGCTTTTACACTGTTGGCGGGAGTATAAATTAGTTCAACTATTGTGGAAGACAGTGTGGCGACTCCTTAAGGATCTAGAACCAGAAATACCATTTGACCCAGCAATCCCATTACTGCATATATACCCAAAGGATTACAAATCATTCTACTATAAAGACACATGCACACGTATGTTTATTGAAGCACTATTCACAATAGCAAAGACTTGGAACCAACCCAGATGCCCATCAGTGATAGACTGGATAAAGAAAATGTGGCACATATACACAATGGAATACTATGCAGCCATAAAAAAGAAGGAGTTCATGTCCTTTGCAGAAACATAGAAGCTGGAAACCATCATTCTCAGCAAACTAACATAGGAACAGAAAACCAAACACTGCATGTTCTCACTCATAAGTGGGAGTTGAACAATGAAAACATATGGGCACAGGGAGGAGAACATCACAACTAGGGCCTGTCAGTGGGTGGGGAGCAAGGGGAGGGATAGCATTAGCAGAAATACCTAATGTAGATAACGGGTTGATGGATGCAGCAAACCACCATAGCACATGTATACCTATGTAACATACCTGCACATTCTGCACATATATCCCAGAACTTAAAGTATAATAAATAAATAAATCATTCTACCAATAAGAAACATGTACTCACATGTTTGTCAAAGCATTATTCACAATAACGAAAGACATGTAATCTATCTAGGTTTCCATCAGTGATGGAATGGATAAAGAAAACATGATACATATATGCCACGGAATACTACATAGCCATACAAAAGAACAAAATCATGCCCTTTGCAGCAACATGGATTCAGCTGGAGGCCATTATCCTAAGGAAATTAAGGCAGAAACAGAAAACCAAATACTTCATGTTCTCACTTTTAAGTGGGAGCTAAACAATGGGTACTCATGGACACAAAGTTGGCAACAGTAGAAACTGGGGACTACTAGAGTGGAGAGGTGGGGAGGGTTGAAAAAACATTAGATACTATGCCCAGTACCTCGGCCATTTGTAATCCAAACCTTAGCATCACTCAATGTACCAAAGTAACAAACCTTCACATGTATCCCCTGAACCTAAAACAAAAGTTGAAAAAAAAATTCATAGTTTTTCCGTACTTAAATTTACACACACACACACACACACACACACAACTTTACACACAAAATATGTTAAACATCTCTATGTACCACTTCAGACTCTTAGACTCACTTGACTCTTTTTCCTCATGAAACCTTTTGCATTTCTCACTGGGCAGTGGAAAATGCAAAAGCTTTCATGGAGGATGAGGCTTAATTTGACATTATTTTACTTCATATCCCTACCAAACACTTTGCATGTACTGCCCTGAGGCTTCCCCAACAGTCACTGCCCAGCACCCATGTATGCTCCACTGGGAAGTTTAGGGGAGTTACAGTTTGTTGTGTAAACTTTTGATCAAATGGAGGTAGATACTGGTTAGATAAATTATCTCTTTCTTTCTTAACCTTTTTGGGGGAATCTAGGCTACAATATTATTTACATATAAAATCTCTAGATGTTCTTAAGAAACAACAGTAGTTAACTTTTTATGGAATGGGATTGGTAGTGGAAAAATGAAGGTGATAGATTTTTACTTTTTTGTATGATTTTTTTGCCATTGGAAGAAACTTAATATGTGCTTATATTATGCTTACACTGAAAATTATTTAACAAATACTTACATTTAAAAACTACAGATTTCATGAAGGCAAAGTAAGCCAAAATAATTCTAAAGAACTTAAGCTGTCAAGGCCACAGCACCTATCAAGGACATTTCTAGCAACTCAGTTGGGAAGCTCCTGTTCCAGGAAATTACACATGAAAGTGGGAAGTTTTAAAAATTTAAGAGTGTATAAAATTGGTACAATCTGGACATTGTTCATTTGTGATGACATTTGACAAATAGTTTTTTAAAAAGTAAAGACAACCACTTTAAAATGTACACTATTCCCTCAGAGTAAAACATCTTTAACAATTCTGGGATTTAGCAACTAAGAAAGATCAAGCTTGTATTGATGTCCAGGAACATGTAGTACTTATATCCTGTTCTCACTCAAAACAGTAACCATGGACTCTGTTAACATGAGCTATATTAAGGCTCAGTGAATCAGTACAAATAAGTAGCAGCTAAAACAGAGCCTATCAACTCCAGATTTGGCTCAATTTGATGAGGTGGGAGGTTAGAGAAGTTTTAATTGAATGGGTTAAAAGATATATAAATGTGCCTTTTAATGAAGATTAGAAATATCTGCAAACAGAAAAGGAACTAAGAATTGAACCAAAGCTACTTATAATCATTCTCTTTTATCTTTCAGCTGAAGATATTAAGGTGAACTTTATTTGGTATAAAGTGGGAGGGAAGTGGTAATTCAGCATTATTTATTTCCATCAGTCATCATCTCACTTCAGCGAATTTTAAATTAGAATTTCCAGTATCCTTAAATGTGTCAGTGATACAGAGATATTACAATTCCATGCAAATAACATTAAAGCAAAAGTTTCCATAACTTCAGAATTAGTCCATAAGCAAATGTTTCTCAAAATATCTTTTCATAAGCCAAAGAAGTAATGTTTCTTAGCACTGTTACACTCACTCTGAGAAACACTGCCATAACCAACTGGTAGTTTTATGAAGCAATGACCTCATCTGTCATGTTCACTTTTATATCTCTAGAAGCACAGAGCTTAGGCACTCAATAAATATGCATGGGTTGACTAGGTCACTGGCTAGCCAAGTAAGTGGATGAATAAGTGAACAAATAAATGAGTGGCTGAATAAACGGGTGAATAGGTGGATAATTGATTCACTGTTTAAAAGGATGAATGAGTGAATAAATGCACATTAGTAAGTTTATTAATAGGTAAATTAATTATTAAAACACGTAAAAAATATATACAACTACGTAAAGAAAAGTGTCACTTTTTCCTGCTTTATCCTAGGGGCCATCAAGCCTAGCTGCACATTGAAATCACCTGTGGAGCTTTAAAGAAAATACCATGTGCCCCAGCCATGAAATCTGATTTCATTGATGAAGAGTGCAACCCAGTTATATGTATTTTTTAAAAAGATCCATAGATAACTTTATGGTCTAGTCAGAGTTGAGAACAGCTAGACTACTCGTTCAATCACACATTTTTTTTCAGCTCCCCATCTTTTATGGTTGGTCTCCCCTTCCACTAAAATGGCCAGTATTTTTCTCTGCAAGTATTGACTCCCACTCTCTTCCCACCCTTCCCTCTCCCCTGATTCCTTGCATGAGAAATGGGAACCATGAAAGTTAGTATGCTTTTAAAAAGCTAGTTAAACTTTTGTGCTCTTTACTTCAAAGGAATACGGTGAGGATCTATAGGTCAGCAGGTCAAAAGTGAAAAATGAATGTAGCAATTGTCAAAAATTATAAATTTATATTAACAATGGCTTTTATAGACATCTTCCTGGGGCTCAAATATCAATGAACTACACATATAGGATGGAAACAATCTTGTTAATCACTATATTTAAATCTGGCTTAATAAATGTGAACATGGCTGGGTGCAGTGGCTCACACCTATAATTCCAACACTTTAAGAAGCTAAGGCAGGAGGATTCCTTGAGGTCAGGAGCTCAAGAACAGTCTGGGGAAAGTGGCAAGACCTCATCTTACAAAAAATAAAAAATAAATAGCTACCTGGGCATGGGGATATGCACCTGTAGTCCCAGCTACTCAGAAGGCTGAGGTGGGAGGATTGCTTGAGCCAGGAGTTTGAGGCGGCAATGAGCCATGATCATGGCACTGCACTCCAGTCTAGATGACAGAGTGAGACCTTGAGACCTTGTATCTTAGAAAGTAAAATAATACAATAGCGAAAATGACACAGTCATTTGTAGTTTATAAAGTACTTGCATGGTTTCGCCCTACAATAAGGCTGTAATATATTAATAGTGGGAAATATTATTGTTTGCAATTTACAGATGAAAACTACTGAAAGATATTAAGTGATAACCAATAGCACATATTTGGAGTAATACACACAGGGATTCAAATCCTGCCTGTGATATTTACCTTTTATGTTATGAGAGGAATGTTGTATAACTTCTCTGAACCCTGGGTCCCTTATTTGTGAAATGAGTTAAAGATAACTACTTTATTGGATTGTTGGAAGGAAGAAATTTGATAAAATGTCTAAAATTACCCTCACAGTGCCTGAAAGGGAGTAAATTCTTGATAAATTAAAAATAAAAGATAACACAGCCAATAAGTGATAAAGGATTAAAATGCTAACTTTCCCCCATTTTACTACATAGCCATATCACAAAATGATTTCTAGATATTCTTACAAGAGTACATCTTAGTAATTCTGTGTCATAGATAATATTAGTGCAGATACTTTCAGTTGCATAGAAAAATCCAATTCAATGTAGCCTCAAGCAAAAAATGGAATACATTGTTTCCAGCCACTGACTAGTCCAAGGCTACATCTGACATCAGGCCCAGCTGGAAACAAAGGCTAAAACAATGTCATCCAATATCTAATTTCATTCATTCTGTCTCTTAACTCCACTTCCTCTATGCTGCATCTGTAATCAAAGGGCTCTTTCCTCATGATTGGAAAATGCCTGTCAGAGCTTACAGGACTTGCAAACCCAGTCAAACCCAATTAAGAAGAGGCAGAGTCTTTACATAATACCTCCTGTTCTGGAAATTCTATGTAAAGAGAGATCTACTCTGATTGGCTTGGTTTAGGTCACCTGCCCATTCCTGAACAAATCAAGATGGACAGAGGAATGGGACACCTTTATTGGCTTAGATCTGTTCCACATGTCCACCACCACTCCTTGTGAGCAGGGCTCCACGCCAATCACATGAATAAGAGTGGAGAGGAGCTGAATTTCCAAGCCAAAACAGTGATTCCTTGTATCAGAAGTCATGTTTATATGCAGAATGGGAGATGAATGTAAATGTCTTCCATGTCTATGTTTTAAAAGGAAAAAAAAAAAAAAACTCTCCTAATACATCTTTGCCTACCCTAGGTTGCAAAGATATTAGCACATGTTTTCTTTTAGAAGTCTTAAAATTTTAGCTTTTATTTTTAGGTCTGTGATAACATAGCACAGCCATAATTCACAGCAGGTTTTTCTGATTTCACTGTATCACTGATCCTCACAAATTTGTCAACCAGGGATTGAGAAGTACATACCCAGAGAGAATGCTAGAAAAAATCTGCAAGGCACTTGGTGAAAAAAAAAATTCTCTCTTTCCCATAAGACAAAATGTAGGGAAAAAACTAGTAATAATAGGACTTCATTGCCTATTTTCATATTTTATATTCTGATATTTTGTCTCTGATATTAGATAACTATTAATACAATATTTTTGCAAAATATATGCTATCTCAGTTGTATTGAAAATATCAAACAAGGTGGTTTTATTCACACTTTACTGAAAGTTTTAAAAGGGAGAGTAACTGCCTGGTATCAGTATGGGAAAGGCAGTCGGCTGTCTCCACCAAGAAATTATCTTGCCAGAATGAAAACCTTAGACTTTAATAAGAAAAGTTTTATCAATAATTAATTTCTCATAGAATATTGAAGATCAATTCAGAATGTCAGCATTCATTTAAAAGAATCAGAAACCACCTCAACATTAGCATAAAATATATAAAATATTATCCCCAAAGAATTACAGTTTACTTGATTAAAGATTCTCCTTACACTTAGGGTCAGCAGGTGAGAAGTCAAAGAACTTTTAAATATTCCTCATTTCTGCTTATCCACCAAGAACTTTAAAGATACAAATGGAGTGGGTTATGAACCTCTGCAGGTGTTAGGGAATGATAAAGTGTCTCTTCAATAACCATGCATTTTTGAAACATGAACTATATTGAATAAACTCTAACTTCCATCACTGCAGTATAAAACTATAGGAGCTCAAAAGCAACACCATGTTATGGTTGAATTTCTAAGGTATTTGTCTACTTGCTTAATATTACTATTTTCCCTTAGCAAGAGTTTTTAATTTTTAACTTTGCCTCTGGTTTAACCTTAAAAGTGAGAGAAAACTATATGTAGGTAGGCAAAAAAAGATAAGTTGACATTTATTTGTACCTATCTTGTTCCAAGAAGGATTTCTCTTTTTATTATTTATAGTGATAAGTAGAGATTTTCAGAGTGCAGTTATATTAATTTTGACAAATTGCACTCACCCATATAACCCACAAAGCTATTAAGATACAGAATATTTGTTGCTCTAGAAGTTGTCTTGAATCCCTACAAAGTCAATCTCTGCCACGTCACTTATTCCTCACCCCTACCTGTGCGGGCCCCTTTTGTATTATTAATTTGTTCTTCTTCACACTGAGCAGTATCTCATGTTTATTCATTCTCCTACAGGTAAGTATTTGGTATTTGGATTGTTTCTAGCTTGGGGGTTTTATGAACAGAACTGCTGTGAACACGTTGTACAAATTTTTTTTTTTTTTTTTTTTGAGACGGAGTCTCGCTCTGCTGCCTGGCTGGAGTGCAGTGGCGCAATCTCGGCTCACTGCAAACTCCGACTGTCTGGTTCAAGCAATTCTCCTGCCTCAGCCTCCCAAGTAGCTGGGATTACAGGCACCCGCCACCACGCCCAGCTAATTTTTGTATTTTTAGTAAAGACATTGTTTCTTCATGTTGGCCAGGATGGTCTCGATCTCCTGACCTCATGATCCACCCTCCTCGGCCTCCCAAAGTGCTGGGATTACAGGCTTGAGCCACCATGCCAGGCCTGTACAAGTGTTTTTAGACGTTTAAAAAAATTATTATTTCTGTTGGATAATTGGGATTAGGAGGGTTGGGTCAGAGTGGCGGTAGGAGTTTAATTTTATAAGACATTTCCAGAGATTTTTAAATTGGTTATACCATTTTATATTCCTGTTAGCACTGCTTGAGAGTTCTGATTGCCCCACATCCTCATCAATGCTTGAGATTGTCAGTCTTTTTTTTGTTTTCTTTTTTCTTTCTTCTTTTTCTTTTTTTTCAGTCCTTTTGTTTTACACTACTCCGTGGGATATGTCATTTGTATATCCCTGATTACTAATGATGGTGAGCTCTTTTTCATGTGTTTACTGTCCATCCTTTAGAAGTGTCTATTCAAACTTTTTGCTTTTTAAAAATTGGATTCTTTTTTCTTATTACTGAGTTTTAGGAGTATATTATATTGTCTAGATACAGGTTCTTAGCAAGATATAAATGGTGCAAATATTTCTTCCCAGTATGTAGCTTGCCTATTTGTTTTAATATGAATAAGAAGTTTAAAGTTTTTATAAACTCGAATTTTTAATTCTTTGGATTTGTTGAGACTTGTTTTATGACCAATCTTAGCAACTACTTAATGTGCACTTAAAGAGAACGTATATTCTGCTGTGTTGAGGTTTAGTGTTCCATGAATGTTAATGATACCAACCTGGTTGATAATTGTTCATGTTCTCTAGACTTTGATTTTGCTTTTTTGTTTGTTTACTTATTGTATCAATAATGGAATGATGGCTAAAATCTTTATATTTATAAATTTGCCTAGTTATCTTTTTAGTTTTGTAAACTGTTGCTTTATATATTTTGAACATTGTTGTTTGGTTCATTCTTATTTAGGACTGTGCTATGGTCTGAATGATTATGTTTTCCCAAAATTCATATGGTTAAACCTGCTCACCCAGGTGCTGGTATTAGAAAGTGGGGCTCCTGGGAGGTGATTAGTATCTTTATAAAAGAAGCCCCAGAGAGCTGCTTCATCTCTTCTACCATGTGTGAACACAATGAGAAGTCACCATCTCTGAACCAGAAAGTGGGTCCTTGCCAGGCACCAAATCTACCAGTGATCATGGATAACTTCTCAGCCTCCAGAAAGGTGAGAAATAAATAAGCCACCATGTCTATTAGATTTTGTTCTAATAGTCTGCATGAACAAAAAAAGGTTGTTGTGTCTTCTTAATAAACTGATGATTTATAAGTAGAAAATGTCCCCTTTCTCTTATAATAACCCTTTTCTTGAAAACTATTTGCCTGATATTAATATATTCTCTCTACTTTTCTTATCATTAGTACTTCCATGACATATATTTTAATTTTAATTAAACTGTGTCTTTATATTTTAAGTAAAAGGAAGATGTTATTTTAACCAAGTTTGTTTTTATTGATTCTATTGTTTTCTAATCTCTGTTTCATTTATTTAATCTTTACTGTTATTTTCCTTCTATTTGCTTTGAGTTTCATTTTCCCTTTTTTTCAGGTTTCTTAAGGTGGAAGTTTAGGTTACTGACAAGACCTTATTTTTTAAATGTAGATGTTTACAGATATAAATTTCCCTCTAAGCACTGCTTTTGTTGCTTCTCATAGGTTTGGGCATGTTGTATTTTTATTTTGTTTATCTCAAAGTATTATCTATTTCCCTGTGGTTTCTTCTTTTCCCATTTGTTAAGAGTATATTAATTTCCACACATTTTTGAATTTTAAAAATTTCCTTCTGTTTTTGACTTCTAATTTTATTCCATTGTTATTAGAAAATATACTCTGTATTATTTCAGTGTTTTTAAATTTATTGAGTTTGTTTTGTGACCTAACATGGTATTTTGGAAGGATGCTCCAAATATAATTGAGAAAAAATAAAATGTATATTCCATTGTTACTGGATGGAATGTTCTATAGGTGTCTTTTTGGTCTAGTTTCTTTATAGCATTGTTCAAATCACCTACTTCTTTGCCGATCTAATGTCTAATTGTTATCCATTATTGAAAATGGCCTCAATCTGTCTCTTCTTCTAGAACTCTCAATATGCATAATATGCTATGTTTGATTGTGTTCTATAGGTCTCTTAAGCTCTGTTCATGTTTCTTCATTTTTAACCTGTCCTCAGACCAGGTAATCTCAACAGATTTATCTTCAAGTTCACTGATTCTTCCTTATGCCTCTTCAAATATGCTGCTTAGATCCTCTAGTGAAATTATCAGGTTATTTCAGTATACTTTTAAATCCAGAATTTCCTTTTAGTTCTATTTTTATAATGCCTATATTTTTATTAATATTCTCTATTTGGTGAGACATTGTTCTCATATTTTCTTAGTTCATTAGTGCTGCTATAATACTTGCCTCTATGAGAGAAGCCAGGCTAAGAATAGTCAACACACAGAAAAGGGTATAACTGGAAAAACTGGAGAAATAGTCATAACCCTTAAAGAAATTTTTTAAAAAAGGAAAAATAAAAATACTCTTGGAACTAGCCAAACAAACATTTTAAGCCTCTAAGTTTATATCTTTCAAGTACTAAATGCCGATGTAATTTTTACATAAGTGTTACATAAGTGTTAATATTTCTATTTACTTTTGCTTGAATTGGGCTACCAAGTTATAAAATTTAAGCAAAAACAATCCTTTAAAATAAATTCTTTTTTTAACTTTTAAGTTCAGAGGTACGTGTGCAGGTTTGTTATATAGCTCAACTTCTGTCACAAGAGTTTGTTGTACAAATTACTTCATCACCCAGGTATTAAGCCTAGTACCCATTAGTTATTTTTCCTGATCCTCTCCCTTCTCCCACCCCGCCACCCTCTGATAGGCCCCAGTGTCTCTTGTTCCCCTCTGTATTTCCATTGTTCTCATCATTTAGTTTCCCCTTATAAGTGAGAACATGTGGTACTGGTTTTCTGTTCCTGTGTTAGTTTGCTAAGGAAAATAGCCTCCAGCTCCATCCATATCCCTGCAAAGGACATGATCTCATTCTTTTTTATGGCTACATAGTATTTCATGGTGTATATGTACTACATTTTCTGTATCCATGCTGCCATTGATGGACATTTAGGTTGATTCCATGTGTTTGCTATTGTGAATAGTGTTGCAATAAACATACTGTTCATTACATATTGTAATCGTTTATGATAGAATGATTTATATTCCTTTGAGTATATATCCAGTAATGAAATTTCTGAGTTGAATGGTAATTCTGATTTTAGGTCTTTGAGGAATTGCCACACTGTTTTCCACAGTGGATGCACTAATTTACACTCCCAACAGTGTATAAGCATCCCTTTTTCTCTGCAACCTAGCCAGCATCTGTTATTTTTTGACATTTTAATAACAGCCATTCCGATTGGTGTGGAGAATTGCTGTGTCCCTATAAAGTAATAATTTTTTTTATTTGATGCCCAATATCAAGTTCTCATATTCGCTGGTAATATTAGTCTAAATTTATTTTGGAACATAACTCATTTACACCATCTCAGACTTGGGTTTGGGATAAAATTCACCCCCTTTAAATCGACCTCTTAAATCAGCTTTATGATTGAACTCTGATGAGCTAAAGCCAGTTTGAACATACCACCACCTCAACGCGATGATCCAATCAGAAATAGACACATGGCCTAGCCCAGTCAGAGCAAACAATATTTTTTACTGTTAATGTATAAAAACACTTTATTTCTTTTTGTTGGATTTGCTGATGTAAGGACATTAACCCTGGAATTTCTAGATTTGATGCTGCCACTTTTGCAAACATGAGGAATAATCAACACACAGAGGAGTGCACAGTTGAAAAACCTATTAAGATAAAGAATCAGAACCCTGATGATATTGTGGAACTATGAATCAAACAGCCCCTGAACATCAGCCTCTGAAATGTTTTTTGAGCCAACACATTTCCCTTCTGTAAAACCCAACTGGATTTGGCTTTTCTTTCACTTTCAGCCAAAAAACTCCCAAATTATTCTTATAAGTGTCTATGTTTGAAAAAAGCCTCCATCATTAGAATAAGTTTTTGGCAAGTTTTCACCTAATGGAAGCATCCCCCGTGTCATGGAAGCCTTAATTCAACTCCACAGAGCTAACCTGTAGCCCAGTCTACATTCTTCTCAGAATTATTACAATCCCTCTGCAGGACAAATCCATCAGGACTGTCCCGTAGAAAGTCAGGATCTTGGGCCAAGGTCAGGTCTTTCACATTCTTATCAAGCCCTATAGTGATAGATTAATAATGACATAAACCTGAATATTCAGACACCATCATGGAAGACCTTAAAAATCACTTTGGCAATTTACATTATTTGTATTTACTTTTGTTCTTTAGTAACAGAATAATATCATCATTTAAAAAATTCAAATGATACACATTTATAAAACAAAAAGTGAGAGTCATCCTTTATCAACTGATTGTCATTCAGCATCTTACCTTATCCATTTACAGAGTTATGGATCTTCATAAAAACATATATACTTCTTAGTGCTCCTCACCTCCTGGTAGTCACATGGTCCCCCTGCCTGCAGGCTGGACTGAATACTTTGCTTCAAAAGAATAGAGTATGGCAGAAATTCTGGGATGCCACTTCTGAGATTAGATTGTGAAAACACCATAGCTTCCTTCTTGAGTGCAGTCTCATTCTCTCCTGGACCACTTGCTTTGGGAGGAGCCAGCTGCAGGCTATGAGGCAGCCCTGTGGAGGCGGCTATGAGTGAGTCTTGAACAGATCCTCTGAGGCCAGCCAACAGCCACGTGAGGGAGGCACGGTCGTGGATCCTCCTCCAGTCAAACGTGAGACAGCTGCAACTCAGCCAACACTTTTATTACGTCATGAGACACCCTGAGCCAAATCCACTCAGCTAAACTGTTCCCGTGTTCCTGACCTAGAATCTGGGAGATAATAAACGTTTGTTGTTTTAAGCTGTTATGTTTCCAAGTAATTTGTTATGCACCAATAGATATCTGATACACTTTCTTAACATGCAGTTCTAATGTGCCTTTCTTCATATTTGGATATTTGTTTTGAATAAAATATACTCTTCCATTTGCGTCTTCCAAGTATAAATCCTACTTCTCCAAATCTTGATTCCAAAACACTAAAATCTTGAGTTTTTGTTCCTTTGAATTAAAACATAAATTGTTCCTATTTATTACCAAAACTTGCACTGTATATGAACTTCTAAGATTGTATGTATTGCTTATGATCCTTTTCTTTACCTTTGCTCTTAAAATTACATTGTTTAAAATTTGTATTCTGTCATAAATTTTATTCCCTGAAAATATTGTCTTCCTTCTTATATATGGGCTTGTTTGGGCCAATGGTGTACGGATGAATTTAATGAACACATTTGAATACATCTAAGCAGAAGATTTAAAAGGCATCACAAGTTTCTTCCAGCACTCTTCTGCCAAACAATGTAACATCCCAGATAGGAATTGATCCTTCCATCTGGGTGCCAGAATAAGATGTCAAGTGTGTCAGAGCTGCCACAGAGATGTAGCCATTCTTGCATCACTGATTTTTTATAACACAAAATTCTTAAGTATAGCTGATCCTTGGGCAATGCAGGGGTTAGGGGAACTGTACCCCCATGCAGTTCAAAATCCATCTGTAACTTTTGACTCCCAGAAAACCTGAGAGTCAGTATAGCAGTAGGCTATATTGCTAATAGCCTACTGTTGACTAGAAGCCTTATTGATAACAGGAATAGTCAACACATGTTTTGTATGTTAATGTATTATATTCTGTATTCCTACAATAAAGTAAGCTAGGGAAAATAAAATGTTATTAAGAATATCATAAGGAAGAGAAAATATATTTACTATTCCTTAAGTGGAAGTATATTATAAAGGTCTTCACCTTCTCATTGAGTAGGCCAAGGAGGAGGAGGAAGAGGAGTGGTTGGTCTTGCTGTCTCAGGGGTGGCAAAATATGGGGAAAAGTCTGCATGTAATTGGACCCAGGCAGTTCATACCCATATTGTTGAAGGGTCAGCTGTATTAATAATCTGAATTCAGAATAAGTTATCATGACCAAGTTAAGCTTATATGCATGGTTGGTTCAACATTCAAAAAAATCAATGTAATTTACTACATTAACAGATAATAGGATAATGAATAAGCAAAGATTATGTAACAAAATTTATCATTCATGCATGATTTTTTAAACTAACTTTTCTCAAATATTCAAAAATAACAAAAAATTAATCCCTGGTAAATTATAGAATAGGTTTCATTAAAGCCATAAAGAATGTGATTTTCAAGATAGCCATAAAACTTACCTATAGGTTTTTAAAGTAAAAATTTTAGAGGAGGACGTATTAGATTTGCTGCAAAAACAAATGATCCCCAAAATCTCAGGGGCTTATGAGTATAGACCATGTTTTTTACTGCCAGTGTTTTTACTAAGGATTTTGGAAAGTTTTTTTTGATAGCCTAGAGGCCATGTTCTAAATTCTGAATGTACAACTATATTCTGAAGGGTTGAGCTTCCAGAAGTCTGGCTTTCAGATAAGTGTTGAGTCACAGAACTGTTTTACTGCCTAGGTATTTACCTAGGTATATGCTTTATAATTATTCTCTAATTTGTAAAACTACAAATTATACTATATGTAATTTCTTTATTATGCTGAATTTTAACTTAAAAAAATCAAAAAATGAGAGTGGATAAGTTTACCTAGGATTTTAGAGTATCTAAGAAAAGAGGTCTCAGAGATGAAACTTATGAACTCTGATTAATATTTGAAGCTTGTCAGAAAAGAAAGTGTTGACAAAGCTAAGGAAAAGAAATTTTGGAAATCAAGGAGAGCATGTGTCATGGAGGTAAAAAAAAAAAAGTGCTTCAAGAAGAAGATATTGATCAACTTCTTCCAAAGTTAGGGAGAAGTGGTGAAAGATGATGACTTTCTATTTGAGCTCTAAAAGGAGCATAGCAATGTTCTATTCCAATTCTTCATTTTACGAATGATATTTTACAAAGGTCTAGAGAAGGGGACAGGACTTGTACATGTTATAGAAAGGTAATTCTGGGAACCCAGATCTCTTAACTCTTACATCAATGCTGTCTCATGTCTCTTCACTAAAGGGTACACTTGTGTGCCTCTTAGTTCAACTTCCTACTCAGAGTCTTAGAAGCAGAAGAGGTTTTGGTTTTGGGGTTTATTTTTGCCAGAGGGAGTGAGGTTGTTATATTTTGAGTTTGTACATGTTTTCCATGTTATCTCTGATAATAGCTTCAGAATACCAAAATTTTAAGTGTCAGTTTTATTTAGAGATGATATCATTTTCTAGACTCTGCCTCTCATTTTTTGGAACCTATGTAATCTCCTAATTCTTTCCTTCAGTTGGATTGCTGAACATTCAGAAAAACCCACATTTCAACTGCTATGGACAAAGCCTCAAACATATTAAATAATAAAAGATCTAATCTAAAAAAAATTTTTTTTCTCTTTCTCTCCTGTATGTCATTATTCTATGTACCATTTTCTGCCTCTTTAAACATATTCCAATTCCTGGTGTTCTTTTTGGATTATTTCTTCTATTCCATTCTACTCATGATTCTTTAATCCTCTGTCATAATATAAAGAGCAAAAATATCATACATTAACAAAACATAATTTGTTCATCGGCGTTCCCCTCTGCTTCTAACATAACATTAGTTCTGTGACTCAACACTTATCTGAGAGCCAGGCATCTGCAAGCTTGATCTTTCAGAATACAGTTGTACATTCAGAATTTAGAACAAGAACTCTAGGCTATCAAAAGACCTTTCCAAAAACCTCAAGCCCTTTACTCCCCAGAGGAGCCATATGACTTACATTATTAATCACATAATATACAAAGCTCAAGGAAGCTTGTTATAGTGTTTCCCTGATCTGAGAAAATTGAACATAGGAAATTCAAATGGAAGTAGAAGGTGGTTCTGTCGATACAGACTTGTGTCATTTGTTAAATAAGTGATTTTATAGCAAAGGAAGAGATAGAAGAATCACACAAACTGAAGCATGCTACCAGCTTAGCAATGCAGGGCCATAAATTAAGTCAAATGGACAAGGTCAGGTTAAATTCTTTGGAAACCATTTAGAAAAGTAGGAAAGTGTGTAATACATTTCAGAAAGATTCCCTTCAAAATATTTTTAATGTTTATTTGCTTTTTAGTTTGAGTGCTTAAAAGATAAGTCTAGGTTTTATTAAGAACTTGTCAGTACTCAGCACTGTTATAAAGAGGTATTACTGTCCATAGAAAATAAAAATAGCCCCCAGGTTTTCATCAGTTTCATCAGCAGCATTTTTTTCTGAATATTTTTGTCTTGTTTTTCAAGTGGGATATTGAATAACTACCTCTGTCTCTCACCCACACAAACACTAATATATCTAGTGTTTTTTCTTGTTCATATCTGTAAATCTGCTTATGTGCAGCACCATCTTGCATGAAATATGCACTATGAAAATAAATGTAATGTACTGAGTTATTTATACATCTGAATAGATGATAGGACTAATAAGGATAACAATTTGAGATAGGTCCCTGATCTTTTATATAGACAGCCAGTATCTTTAATTACATTTTCAAAGTGGTAAAGCTTGTTCTGATGTAAAGTAATGTTAAAAATACTAATTAGAAAAAAAATCTATGATCTCACCACTTTAAATAATACAATTTTGATTTTTTAATTACTTTTGTCATTTTCCATCTGTGTACATATATCCTATAATTTCTATATAAATTGTAGCATAGCCACAATTTACACTGCAATATATGCTAATAAATATTACTTCCATATTTTATAAGATTATTTTATTGTGACTAAATACACATAACATGAAATTTAGAATCTTATTTTAAAGTGTAAAATTTATAATATTTTTAAATATTCATCTTTAAAACTTTGTAATTGTTCATCCAGTAAATTTAATGCCATTTATTTACTATTGCGCAATTGTTAGGTATTTAGGCCATTTCTATTTTTTTCAAAGCCTACGTAACATGATGATGAGCAAATCTGTGTGCATAATTGTAATGCTTTTTTCAAAAAAATTTAAGATAATTTCCCACAAATGAATCACTAGATTCAATTTACCATGCCAATGGCAATGTATCGGCTTAACAATTTCAGAGCTAACCTTTAAAGACCTCTGTGATGAACCATTTTCATAATGCAAATACTTGTTCCAGGTTTATTAGATTAATTGATGCTTTATGTTTCAGATTGTCTTAAATCAAGACATACATGAATGCTGAAAAACGAAAGTTCTCCAGCATACAATCAATGTCATGGATATATAGAAAAAAAGTACCTTTCTATGACTTTCTAAGCGAAAAAAGCATGAGCTGGGTGCGTTGGCTCATGCCTGTAATTTCAGCACTTTGGGAGGCCAAGGTGGGTGGATTGCTTTAGGCCAGGCGTTCAAGACCAGCCTGGCCAACATGGTGAAACCCCAATTCTACCAAAAGGAAAAAATTAGCTGAGCACGGTGGTGTGTGCCTGTAATCCCAGCTACCTGGGAGGCTGAGGCAGGAGAATCCCTTGAACCAGGAAGCAGAGATCACGCCACTGCGCTCTAGCCTGGGCAACAGAGCGAGACTCCATCTTAGAAAGAAAAAACAAAAAGGGAGAGAGAGAATAAAGCACGATCTCCTATGCTTAATGGTCCCTATTTCTATTTTTCAAAAGAATTATTATAATATTATGTTTTAAATAGCACAAAAATCGCATATAGGGTATAGGAATGCCTGGCAGTGATTAGAATGATGGCTTTAAATGCAGTTGCAAATTTTCAGACTTGCCTTTAGCATTGGGTAAACAAGCATATAGCTAATCATTTTAGAATTGTTTTTATGAAAGGAAACTGTAAATATGAATGTACTCTAGTAAATAAATTGGACAGATGTTTAGCAAAAATAACTGGAAATTCGATGCTAGTTGTCATATGATTAAAAACTGAATTCTAAATTTTCATCTATATGTGGCTGGCTATATATAAGCTTATCAAATATTGTATCGCACATGAGTAATTCACACTAAATACATTCTGACAGAAAAAAAAGAAGCTGAAGTTAGTTCACCTTTTTTCAACATGCAGCTGCTCATGACAGCAATTATAAAATCTTCCCCAATTTTTCTGAGTATTTTATCTTCATGCACACAAGAAAGCAGGAAACGACCCAGCAGTGTTTGCTGGGGAGTGGGCAACTTGGAGAAGGGGACTTGAGGAGGGAAGTGAGTCACCAGAATATTCTCAAAGCATGTGGGTCATAAAGAAATCCCCAGTCAACAGATTAAACTTCTGTTTACAATGCTGAGGTTTAAAATACTCAGCATCAGCCGTTCATGCCACATGCTCGACTGGGTGCTCCACTCCTTTTCTGGTTATGAACACAGTGACCATTCCAACGTTTGCCCTCCTGGGTGGGAGAACACGGCAAAACCTATGGGAAGTATCAAAAGTCCAGTGAAGATGCTTTAGCAAACATTTTCCTGGTGGCTAAAATTCCTTTAAAAGGAGATAGAGTCCCTACTTTATATTTCATTATGAAACCTAAAATGTAAACATAAAAAATAAAACCTGTCATGGGGGAAGTAATGAACTCTCTAAGGGGTAAACGGAATGCTCAACACTGCCTGTACAACAGAATTGCTCCTAAAATATTCTAATTCTAGGACCCCAGATCAACTGGATCAGGATCTCTAGGGGAGGAGCCTAGGGAGTGGCATTTTGGAAAGTGCTCCAAACTGTAAGGTCTATCCAGGGTTTACAACCAGAGTTGTAAACCATTCTGTTTCTATTCAATTTGTACAACCCTGTACACTTTCCAAAACATCTTCCCATTTGTTATCTCATTTGATCTTTCTTAGCAACACAATGAATTACAGTTCAGAGATTGGTATCATTATTTTACAAATAAAACACTTCGAAATCCTGAGAAGTTATGAAACCACCTCCAATAGCACAGTGTGCAGATTTTAAGATCAGTAAAAGGCAGCAGAATACAAGGTGGGTAAATCTGAAGGGGTTTGATGACAGATACTCCTAGAACCTAGGAGGCCTGTGTAGAACAATGAGATTGACGCTACCAAAGACAAATTTTGTTCCTGTTTTCATTTCTACCATAATTGCTATGAACCCAGAACCTATATGTTCCATCACAGAATACTGATAAGGTTGGACAGTCAGCAAACCCACAGGACACCACAATACACGAAGCACCTGCAAGTTGGGTTCCTTGAGAACCAGTGGTGGGTTGGCCTTTTACTCTCCTACTATTCCAAGCTAGTGCCTAACAAATATATTTTTGAATGCCTGAATCAAAGTAAAAATTTAAATTACCCCCCAAAATTATATTTTTCCAAAACTGTAAATGTGATTATATAATCCTCAGAAAAACTAATTAAAAATGTTTCAGCCTATACCCACCCCTTAACCCTCAGCTAACCCACTACAACTTTCTCCACAATCCCTCTAATGTGCCTTCTATCTCCAGCCCTCTCCGCAAATGTTTTTTATTATCTATTGCACCAAAAAAGAATCATTTCTTTTTATGAGAGGAAATGAGGAAAACTGACTTGGAATGTATAAGGTTAATACCGATGGGCTGGAGTACACATGAAACCTGTGCCCATGCCCATTTTATTTATTTTTTATTTGCCCAGCTGGGAAATGAGTGAATTCCTAGAAAACAATCACAAAGCTGTAGTATTTAACACCTCCCTCTCCAAGATTTTGCCTTAATTATGGGGAGGGAAAATTAGCCACTAGGTTATTCCGTCATAAGTCACAATAATTCTGCTAATGTCTCACTGGTAGCATATTGGTGGTTCTAGTCCCCATGAGGCTGCTGTGAGGGAGTCCTATTTATACCCACCCAGTGGGGTCTCAGTTTAAGCATCAATTTTCAATGAATTGGAGAATACTTGAGTAACTTCTTCCTTCTCTTATTTGTCCTAGCACCTCAGGCTCAAATTTTATCCTGTTCCTTGATGGTCAATCAATTTTATTTCTTTGTTGCCTCAATCCAATTAAGTTCATCTATAGGTGGAATCTGCAGGCTCAGCAGAGAAGCAGCATCCAATCCTTACTAATTTCTACAAATTGCCCTCATGTGAAGCTGACTTAGGCATTTTTGAATATCTACTTCCCATTCTATTGACCCTTGGTAAATGGTGTGCCATAGTTACTTGTCTAGTCTGGACTCAAAAACAGAACAGTGTTCTCTTGCTCACATTTACTAATGGTGGTGGCATCTGATAATGAGTAATGGTCCAGTCTACCTTACCAACCATATAGACAGTGAGCCAGTCCCCCACCACCCCAGTGCATGCCCAGAGACCCCAGTCTCCAACTTGAATCCACACAAATCTTATGTTGGACCTGGCAGGTTCTTCTGAGAATAGTAGTTTCTGAAATGGCTGCTGGCATTGTACTCACCGGCAATGTCTGAAGATTCTGGCCTTTATAAGCAATTTCAAACTGTCTTGATCACAATTCCTACAAAAGCAGCAAATCTCTTGGGGTATCTAGTCTCAGGGGTGTTAGAAAGAGGCTGTGAATTCCTCTATCTATCCCCACCCCTGCCAAAAAAAATCTTGACAAAATTCAATATATTTTTCATGAAAAAACCTCTCCATAAATTAAGTATAGAAGGAATGTACCTCAACACAATAAAGGTCATATATGACAAGCCCACAGCTAACATTATTCTCAACTTTGAAAAGTTAAAAGTTTTTTCCTCCAAAATCAGGACCAAGACAAGGATGCCTACTCTTACCACTTCTATTCAACATAGTACCAGAAATCCTAGCCAGAGAAAATAGGCAAGAGAAAGAAACAAAAGGTATCTAAATTGCAAAATAGTTGACTGTCTGTTTGCAGACAATATGCTCTTATACATAGAAAACCATAAATACTCCATCCAAAAGTGTTAGAAAGAATGAATATATTCAACATGTTTAATGAAGCAGCAGGATACAAAATCAACATACAAAAATAAGTAGTATTTCTCTACACTAACAATGAACTTTCCAAAAAAAGAAATCAGGGGAACAGTCTCATTTGTAATAGCTACACCAACTAATAATAAAATAACTTAGGAGCAAATTTCACCAAGGAGGTGAAAGACCTGTACACTAAAAAATATAAAACACTGATAAAAAAAAATGGAAGAAAATGCAAGTAAGTGGAAAGATATCCTGTGTTCATGAATTTCCAGAATTAATATTGTAAAAATGGCCATATTACCCAAAGAAGTCTACAGATTCAATGCAATCCTTATCAAAATTCCAATAACATTTTTCACAGAAATAGATAAAACAATCAAAATATGTATAGAACTATTAATGACTCCAAACAACCAAACCAATCTTCTGCAAGAACAAAGCTGGAGGCATCACACTACCTGACTTCAAAATATACTACAAAGCTATAGTAATCAAAAACACATGGTATTGGCCTTTTAAAAAAGACACACAAACCAATGGAACAGAATAGAGAGCCCAGAAATAAACTCATGCATTTACAGTTAGTTGACTTTCTACAAAGGAACCAAGAACACACATTTAGGAAAGGATAAGCTCTTCAATAAATGGTGTTGGAACAACTGAATAGCTTTATACAGAAGAATAATCTCATAACATATACAAAAAAATCAACTCAAAATGAATTAAAGTCTTAACTGTAAGACCTGAAGTTGTAAAACTACTAGAAGAAAACACGGGAAAATTTCCATGACATTGGTCTGGGCAATTACTTTTCTGCATATGAACTTAAAAGCAAAAATAGACAAATGGGATTACATAGAACTAAAAAGCTTCTGAACAGCCAAGAAAACAATCAACAGACTGAAGAGACGACAACTTACGGAATGTGAAAATAATATTTGCAAACCATATATCTGATAAGGGGTTAATATCCAAAATATATAAGGAAATCAAAACAACTTGATAGTAAAAAAACAAAAACAAAAACAAAACCCTGATTTAAAAATAGGCAAAGAAACTGTATACACATATCTCAAAAGAAGACATACAAATAGTTAACAAGTATGTAAAAAAAATGCTCAATATAACAAGGAAATGTGAATTAAAAGCACAGTGAGCTCACACCCGTTAAAACCTCACACCTGTTAGAATGGCTATTATCAAAATGACAAAAGATAACATTGATGAGGATGGGGAGAAAAGAGAGCTGTTGCACACTTTTTGGTGGGAATATAAATTAGTACAGCCATTATGAAAACAGTATGGAGATGTCTCAAAAAACTAAAAGTATAACGTAACTACCATACGATCCAGGTTTACCATTACTGAGTATATAGCCAAAGAATAAGAAATTGATTATGTCAAGGAAATACCTGTACTTCCATGTTCATTGCAGTCTTATTCATAATAGCCAAGATATGGAATCAACCTAAGTGTTTATCAGCAAAGGAATAGATAAAGAAAATGTGATATACTATACACACACACACACACACACACACACACACACACAAAGTGGAATACTATTCAACCTTAAAAAAGCAGGAAATCCTGTCATTTATGACAACATGGATAAACCTGGAGGACATTATGTTAAGTGAAATAAGCCAGAAACAGAAAGACAAAGACCATATAACCTCACTTATGTGTGAACTTTTAGAACTCGTGGAAGCAGAGAACTGGGGTGGTGGATGTGGTGAAGAGATCTTGGTACAAAGGATACAAAGTTCCTGTTACACAGGAAGAATAAGTTCAAGAGATCTACTGTTCAACACCATGACTATAGTTAATAACAATGTACATATCGTATTCTTAAAAATTGCTAAGAGAGTAGATTTTAACTCTTCTCACCACAAAAAGATAATAAATATATAAGGTAATATATACATTAGCTTGAATTAGCCATTTCACAATTATATATCTATCAAACCAATGTGTACACAATACATATATACACCTTTTATTTGTCAATTACATAAATAAAATAATTTTAAAATAATTTAAAATTTCTTAAGGAACTAGGTGTTCATGGGAGGAAATCTTGTGAGTTCTGCAGACTCTTTTTTTTTTTCTTTTTTTTTGAGAAGGAGTCTCACTCTGTCACCTAGGCTGAAGTGCAGTGGTGTGATCTCAGCTCACTGTAACCTCTGTCTACCGGGTTCAAGTGATTCTTGTGCCCCAGCCTCTCGTGCAGCTGGTAAGGTCTCACTCCGGTCGCTCAGGCTGGAGTACAGTGGCATGATCACGGCTCACTCCAGCCTCAACCTCCTGGGCTCAGGTGATCCTTCCACCTCAGGCCCCTGAGTGGCATGCACCACCACACATGCCTGGCTAATTTTTGTATCTTTTTGTAAAGACAGGCTTTCATCATGTTGCCCAGGCTGGTCTCAAACATCTGGCCTGAAGCTATCTGTCCACCTTGGCTTCCCAAAGTGCTGGGATTACAGGCATGAGCCACCATGCCCAGCCTATACTCTTAATTTAATGAATTATCATAAGATTGATTATTTCAAAATTTTATAATTAATATCAGTGTGATCTTCATGATTTTCTTTAATTTTTCCAATAACCACTAATTCAAGCACAATATCTCTTTCTACCAATACACGTCATTCATCTTTCCAAAATTGTTCTAACAATTTGGCAGTTATGGTACATAATCTCTCAGCTGTGGGTCTAGAGAGATGACTTGGACAGCTCTGTGCCTATCTAAGATCTAGAATTATGTCCCACAACCTCCAAAAGAGTAGCTTTTACAAATTGTTATCTATGTAGTCTTGATTCAAAGTAATGACATTGGTTTGAGGAAATGTAGTCAGCAAATAAGAATTTTAACCAAAACTCAAAATATTTGCTTACATAAAAAATGATAAGGCTCCAAATACATAGTCCTCAGCAATCCCCTTTGCTTTCCTGTCCATTTCCATTAAACTCCAGATGCTTCAGACAGTCTTGTCACAATTATCCCAGCTTTCCCTGTACATCCAGCCCTCACATAAGTATTGTTTTCTTTTTCACCCTTCTGCAATTCCTTTACCGTATACTGTAGCTTGACCCAACATCTCTCATATCAATTAAAAACACTCCCTCTAAAGGAGCTGAGAGAGTGAGAAAAATTCGACTATCACAGGATTCTAGAGAGAAGAAAGTGGGGAACCTACCCATGTTAATTCTTATTGCACCTAACTAGGGGAGCGCAAACTAAAGCACAATTTGAAGTATTGTTTCTTCTCTTCACCTGTTCCTTAGTAACCAACCCACTTTTCCTTCTTGATATAAAATCTCAGTAACAGTAATTTGAGAACACATTAGCTGTTTCCTAACAGCTTGTGGAATGTGGCCCTTCTGAGCTCTAGAACAGCTGTGGAATCCAGGAATAGCTGTCAGAATATTGCCTCAATTTGAGACCTACCGGTGGCAACTGTGGCTGTACTCGGCACCACGGGATGATGTTAGTGGGTGATAAGGCAATGCAAATCTTGTGAAATTGTCAAGGACAGAATGAGAACAAAAGACTACCAATGGGCAGATGGCTGAAATGCTACAAATATGGAAAAATGAACAATTCAGGTATAAAAATTGAAAGTGGTTGAATGAAAATTTGATTCAATGCCAACGAGCAACTGTGTTGGAGATCCTCCATTCAGCCCTCAAGGTCTGCTCCCTGCCTTTTCCCACCAAGCTCTGCTCCAAAGGGCTGATCTGTATTGATTGTGTCCACAAGCTCCCTTGACTTTTGGCTTCCCATTGGGTTTTCCAAAGAGAAAGAGGAAAAGGAAATCACTGGATGGGAAGAGAGAGAGACTGGCTAAGGATTTTATTTTTCCAGCTCTCTGCTGCATCTTCGAAAAAGGCTATAGGGCTGTCAGATAGCCTTGGCTGTGAAGATTCTCTTTCTGGTTTCTTCCTTGCCCCTTCAGGTCTGGGTTGACTAACAGTTCCTATTATTGCTAGCCCTTTAGTACTGCAATATCCCTTTTGAATTTCCCTATAAGCCCCACCCATTCTTTTATAAGTGATTTCTTCATTCAATTCCCCTCAAGTACCTAGTTTGAGTGTGTTGTTTCCTGGCAGCATCCTAGTTCAGAATTCTTAAAAGCAAACAAAATAAAAGATGACTGTGCTCTGAAACAACGTTGCAAATAATTTCTCAACAAAATTTTTCTTCGTTCTTATATCTTCCTACAATTTTCTGTCATCAATATTCTTTGTACTATGACATATCCTCCTTTACCTAGTCTAAAGGAAAAAATTCTGTCACATAAAATACAAAAGAAACCTTATTCAAAATTCTATTATTTGGATTTGGATTGCATTATATTTTTTGGTATGGAGTGGGGAATACATTTGTCTTCAAAGATGTCTTACGTTTGTGCTCCAAAATCAGCTTGCTTTTGAGGGTTGAGAGTAAAATGGACAACCTAGAAAATCATTGAATTGTAAGAAAAAATATCTATTCCTTTATGAAAATGTGACTGTAATTTTCATAAAGTATTGATCTTACCTTCCAGTAACATACTCATGAATACAGAGACAGAATTATTTGAAGAATATCAGGGGAGCTCCCAACTATTCCAAATTATCTCTCTCTTGCAAGTGCTAAACTGCTTGAAAGGTTTTCATAAGTTATTCCTTGGGTTTGGTTAAGCATTACCCCATCTTTCTGTCCTCTATTCTCTTCTTTGCAGATACATTATTCTGGATAGCAGAAACCATAAAAAGAATCACTAACAGCTCAAAGTGAATTTTCTATTGGATTCTTTCTTGTTATCAAGGGTAAGGAATTCAGAGTGCCTAACAGAACAGGGGTTTGTAAATGTGAGAAGCTGTACTAGCAACCAAAGAAGGCAAATATAACAATTATTCATTAATCTCCTGCTAACATTGAGTTCACTCTGACATAGGAGATCACCACTCTTATAGTATTTGCTGCACTTGGGTAACTGTAAGACCTAAAAATGTCTTCAGGAACTGAATCTTTAATAGTGGAATATCAGTCCCAATGACAGATGGTTTGAGCAGGAGGTGTCATGTGATCTTCAGTCCGGTCACGAAGGTGACCTGATAGTCCGTAGATATGTACATCTGTCTTTGAGTGTGTGATCTGCATGGCTTCTCTGCACAGTTACACCCTAATTTGCACACTTTCAACTCATGTTCCACCGTTAAAGTCACAGGCCACCTAAGCATCAAGGAAGTAAAAAAGTAATCAAATTTAGAAATAATAGTAGTGATAGGTAAAGAAGAACCAGAATAACAACAGAAGCAGCAGTAACAAAATTTCGGTCCTGGGAGAAAGAAGGCGCACCTTTAATTCTCTGAGATAACCTGCTCATTTGTATGAGTACATTCCAACTTTCTCCTAAATTACATGCTCAGAACCAGCCTAGTTTAGCTGCAAGAACTCCTAAGAATTCCTTTATGCCCAGGTGTGTATTCTATTCTTGAATCATAATGTTTTCTCTCTCCATTGGATTTGTTGAATCACCCAGTTTGAAGGATTTTTCTAATTCAAACCTCTTTTCAGTCAGCACATTGTGACACCTTCATTCAGAGAGACCTGCTCTTGCTATCTACAAAAGGAATATTTAACTCTGCCCTAAACTCAGCACATCCACTATTGTTAGCCTCAGCAACTGCACTGCAACAATTTAGTCCTTTAGTGGAGCCTGAATGACTGCTCATTATTTACTTTCTTTTCTCATTTAGTATCATTTGTAAACCTGAAATTTTGCTTTCCAAATCAGTCAGCTCATCCTTGTACATTACAATAAAGTTAGTGCCTAAATGTTCACACTTATCATTTCAGAGACAAATATAATGGGCTACATTTCTAAATTTTTACTGCATGTCTCTAACTCTACCTTGTCAATCCCTTAAGGGAGTATTCTTTTCCCTCCCTGTTGTGTGCTGAATACACAGTTAAAATTCTTTCTCTCAAAACTACTCTGCAATTTTATGCCTCTTCCAGTTTTCTCTTTATAAATGTTCAGGTAACTTTTCACATTTTCGTGTCTTAAATTATCCTCACTGCTTCACAGTTGCAAATAGAAAAATAAAGATCTCTTTTGGGTTGACATTTAAAGGTTTGTTATTCTGTCTTTGATATATGAGTTTAATGCTCATTAACACTAAAACAAACCAGCTGAGAAAAGAAAAAAAGCAGCTGCCTTCAAAGATCCTGGAATAAATAATGTAACACAGTCTCTTCTTTTCTTCCTCACTAAAATGATATTAACAAATTCCACATTCCTTCAAAGTAAGCTTTTAAAAGTTTAATACTGTCTGCTTTCACTTTTCAAAGGTGTGCTGATGGCATCCTAGAGTCTGATTGCTTTGTTAGGAATTCTTTTTCCTCAAAGGAGATGGAATATACTCTCTTCCATTCTATTTTTATATGTGTGCTTTAAGATTAATTTTAAAAGATTTCAAAGCACCAAGTATTTGAAATTAAATATAAATCATGTGATCCTATGGGAAACATCATGACTGCTTGGTTCTCCTGTGATTTAGGGAGCTACATAAGCAGGGAATTTTTTTTAAAGAAAAACATTTAACATGAGTAAATCAATGCTTTTCCTTGATAAAAAAAAATTGAGAATCCATTTTTGCTCAGTATTTTTACAAGTTTTATTTCCATGTACATTTATTTCTCTTTTCTATCACAATATTTTAGACTAAAGTGAAAATATGCTGTCTCTTCAAGTAACTACTAGAAACACAGTTTCTATCTGGCCCTTTAAATCACACCCTTTCATTCTGCGTCAGTCAGGAATATATCCTGCCACTTGAGTATAATGGCAATTTCACTTAGCTTTTAACAGGTGACCTGTCATGTATGAATCACATACTGGAAACAGTATAAGAAATCTGCTGTTTTCTCTCTCCATTATGAACTTCTAATTACTAAAACGACATTAAACCCTGGAATTTATGAATATTTGAAACACTTGGATTTTCTGAAACAAATATGAAATTCACAAAAGGGATAAGGAAGTTGTTAATTTTGCAAGGTAGGTGCCAATTATCAGAAGTATTTTCTCGGTATCTTAAGCTCAACAGGTAGCCTTCTATTCACTATTACAGTTTTGGAAACAGAAATTCTCCAGGAATGGGAGGTCCAGGCACCTGTGTTGGTTGATAACTTCCATTCCCTCCTGGGGTCCCCTTTCTAGAATTTTCCACTTACTCAAATTCTCTTTCCTCAAGTTTCAGTTCTTAATGCTGATCAGGATTATCACAGGGTTCAGTTTTGTGTAGCAGACTGAATGCAGAGATAACAAGATAGCTAGAGTTTTCCTATCTGATGGGCCTCACTCCTGCAGTCTGGAGAGCGGAGCAGCATTTTCCATAAGCTTGTTGACACACAGTCAAAGACTGAGTGGGCGCTCTAATGTGTAGCCCTTGACCCTTGCTATGCCAAACAGAGAAATGAGAATTCAGCAGACTTGATTCAGGGAAAACCAAAAGTCAGATGTACCAAGTCCCAATTGTTTCTCATTCCATCTTAGGAGACATTTTATTAGCCTTCAACGCTGAGGTTTATACCACTATTTCTGATCCTTCAATGTGCCTGTAAATCCCTGAGAATCTTCTTATGATGCAGATCCTGATCCAGTATGTCTGGAATTTTTCTCAAGATTCTGCATTTCTCACAGAGAAACTCCCAGGTGATGCTGGTGCTAGTGAGATACTGGTCCATAGATCACACTTTGAGTAGCAAGGGACTTCAGAGGCTTAGAAGTTCTCAAACTTTAGTGCGCAAAAGAATTCCCTGGGGAACTTACTTAAATTACAGAATTCCAAATTCCATACCCAGAGGATCTGAGGTGGAGCACAGGATTCTTTTTTTTTTTTTTTTTTAGGTACTCCAGATGTTTAGGCTTCAAGGCATCATTGGCAGATTACTCCTGAAGAAAGACAAGTTCAGGGTATGCTGGTTTCAGCTTTGGACAAAGTATTAATCCAAGGTGCCAATTTGGCTTTACAACTTACTAAGACTGTAATGTGAGATAAACGATTTAACATCTCTTAGGCATCATCCCCAAGGTTATTAAATGGGGTTTATAATGTCTTCTCCACTGGTGTCCCAGCATTGCTCTGAGGTACTGAGATCATGTATACTTACAGGTGATACAAATGTAAGTTATCTGGCAACCCTCTGTAATCATCCTAGAGTCATTTGATATTGAGACTCTGTCACCACCTTCTTCCTGATTTGGTGCCAGCCCCACTTTTCCATCCTCTGAAATATTCAGAGAGGATCACAGTAATATGCTCTGAGGGAGTCCTGGAACACCACCAGGAGAGTCCATCAAAGAGGCGGGCTTCACCTGTGTCTATTTAAAGTTGACTATGCTTCAGGTTAGGAAAATTTCAGATGCAAATTTAAATCTATAAAGCCCCAGTTTCCTAAGAGATCACTTTTCTCTTCACAGTCCAATAAGATCTTTGATATTCTTTTGTTCTTGGAGTCTAAAGCTTTGGTTTAGAGGCCTGTAAGATACAGTGAAAAAACTTTTTTCTTTTTCCTCTCCAACTAGTAGAAAAAAAGGATGAGTGACAGAGTTTGCATCAGATGTGTCTCTGAGGCAAAAGGGATGATGATGTTTTCAATAAATTGAAAACAATGCAAGTGTCAAGTGATACTCTAGCTTTTCTATTTCTTACATTTCATTGAACATCTATTCAATCCTGTAGTTCCATCCACCAACAGAAAATATCCTCTCATATTCTGCAAACGCATTCTCTTCCAGCCCCAGCTCCCTCACATTCAACATCTGTTATTTATTCAAGACGCAAGAAATTCCCTTTGGGGAGAGATCATAATTCAAAGACATGTCAGTGCACAACCCCTTGGAAATAATGAGCTAAGCTGATGCAAAATTCAAAATATCAATTTTAAATATAAAAATAAGTAAAATTCAACATGTAAAACTGTGCTCCACAGTATCTGAATCCACATTCACACTGAGATTATAGATGCACACAAATGCACATTTTTAAAAAATCCATTATAACTGAAAAGAAATTTTCATGCAAATCTTGCACTGAACTCAGCTGGTTGGTGAGTCTCTGTGAAACTTGAAGGAAGCAAGGTGACTCCTGGGAACCTGAGTATTGAGAAGGACTTCAAGGAAGTTCCTCACATCCCCCACACTTGCCACTCACCTGCCTGCACCCAAACTCCAAATATCTCCTCCACCAGACTGATTTCCAGAATTTTAACATTAGTAAGTCTTTCCTTGGAGTTAAAAAAGAAAAGATAGGCCAGGTGCAGTGGCTCATGCTTGTAATCCCAGCACTCTGGGAAGTCAAGGCAGGTAAATTGCTTTAAGCCCAAAAGTTCAAGACAAGCCTGGGAAACATGGTGAAACCTCATCTCTAAAAAAAACAACCCACAAAAATTAGCTGGGCAATGTGGTGCATGCCTGTAGTCCCAGCTACTCAGGAGGCTGAGGTGGGAGGATTGTTTGAGCCTGGGAGATGGAAGATCACTTGAGCTGTGGAAGTCAAGACTGCAGTGAGCCGTGATTGCACCATTGCACTTCAGCCTAGATACAGAGTAAAACCCTGTCTCACACACACACACACACAGACACACACACACACACACACACACACACACAAACAGAAAAAAAGTAACATGTTAATCTTTGTCAGTTACTGATCCCTCAATATGATTAACTCTACTATGTTTCAACACGGATATCCATACTGGTTTCCTATTGCTACAATGATGAATTAGCACAAATTTAACAGCTTAAAACACAAATTTCTTGTCTTACAATTCTGGAGGTCAGAAGTCCAAAACGGGTTTGACTGAGCTAAAATTAAGGTGTTTGCAGGGCTGCGTTTTTCCTGGAGACTCTAGGAGAAAATTGGTTTTCTTGCCTTGTCCAGTGTGCAGAGGCCACCTGCATCCCTTGGCCCCTTCCTACATCTTCAAGGTAGTAGTATAGCATCTTCAAATCTCCCCCTCTCTCACACACATACATCCCTGCTTCGATCTTCATATCTTCTCTGATTCTGCCTTCCTCTTTCATCTTTTAAGGACCCTTGTGATTACCTTGAGCCAATCCAGGTGGGCTTGTATTATTACAAGGTAAGCTCTCAATCTTGAGGTCCTTACTCAGGTCTGCAAAGTGCACTTTGCCATATGAAGTAACCTATTTACGGGTTTCAGGGATGACAACTTTGCAGATCCATTATTCTCCCTACCACTGGATCCGGAAAGCAACCCTATAAAAATGGGGTTGGTTTTGATAATAAGTACAGGAAATAAAGAAGTTAGAAGTAAAAAAATGCCTGGATGAAAATGGATGTGACACAAAATAAAGATATCAAGCACCTGGAAGAGAGAGGGTATGACCAAATTAGGGAAAAAAACCTTAACAAAAAAGATATACAGTGATGAAGATAAACTCCATCTACTTCACCTAGGCTCTGCAACACAATAAAAAATATGTAGGTGGTAAGCATAAATGTGCTAGTGATTACACATATATGTAGATATATAAATATATATATACACACAGAAATGTCTGATGGGAATTATACCGGTTGTCTTTTGATGGTGGGGTTATGGGTAACCTTTTCTTCTTTCTGTAATTTTTGTTAATACTACCTTCTAAATATTCTCCCTGACTTGTTATGAACTGCCCAAGCCCTGGTTCCATCTCTTTTCCCTGGGATTACTACAGTTGCCTCTTAAACTGTCTCTTTGCTTTCATGTTTGCTCATTTAATTCCCTCTCCAAACATCATCCAAAATATCAATCTGATCTGCTGCCACTGTACCCCCAACTGCTCCTGCAACCTCAGCTCTTTGCTGGCTTTTCTCACACTCTGTGCCTCACCCACACTGAACTTCTTGATAATCCTTGAAGCCATACCTCCTGTCATGTTCTCCCACAGTAGCTGGAATACTTTTCCTACTGTTTCCCACTGTCTTGACTTTTCGTGAGACTGTATCTCCGGAAGGGCATTGTTATTATAAATCCAGCTTTTAACATGATTCCCAGCATATAAGAGTTCTTAGTAAATGTGTTGAATTAACAAATACACTACTTTAAAACAAAATTACAGATAAGTTACCCTTTCTTCTTTTCTCAGACAAGAACATAGATGGCGCTTTTGCCCTGTTGACCCCTTTGCCACCTGCTCCCTCCAGGAGAGAACCTTGGTGGTGAAACAGCTAATGGTTCACATCCTTTGGCCCACCGTGATGTGCTTCAGAAAACTACTCATTTGAGCGACATATAAATTACTAATGATGTATGAATTATGATTACAATCATTTGAAACATGGATAGAAGTGTAACCAAGCACCAGAAACGCCTGTAGAAAATCAAAGATAGTTTTGTTATGAAGTGGCCCTGTGGATAGGGCATTTCCTTTTTCAAAATGCTTCTTGTTTCATACATCTCCTTTTGGGGAAAGTATTGCTACTATTCATAGTGAACTGGCTAGACAAACCACTGCACGTGCATGCAAAGACACACACAAAGACACACCCACACACAGTTCAATTCAATCGAATGGTAGGTGTTTCCCCTACGTGTCTCCAGACAATTCGTACTTTTACACACATTTGAAAGTTTTAACATTATTTTTTGGTCCACAAGAGGTTTTTTTTTTTTTTTTTCCTTTTGAACACAAGTAGCCTGGCAGCAAATATCTAAAAATTATGCAACAGACATAGTTTTTATTCCATGTGTGGAGCATCTGCCAGAAACTCCAGAGCAGGAGGAGGGGTGATGCTTTGTGTTTCATCTCAAGAAGCAGGAGCCGCCTTCCAGTTTTGGGTAACCCCTGGCCCAGCATGGTGGTGGGGATGAAAAGCTGGGGAGGTGAAGCTCTAGCACTGACCAGAGCAAGGAAAGGGAAAAATTCACATACGAAATCTTTTGAAAATGCTGTTGTTGAAAATATTACTATTGTTTTGTATTCCACTATGTGATCCTAGGTTATGAGTAAAACAATGGATAACTCATGGCCCCCAACTCCCATGAATTAGTGAAAAACGTTGATATCTTTTTCAACCTAAAATTCAAGATGCAGCATATTATATGAACATTGCTCTACTAATAAAGATAAAAATTGCTAAAATAATAAAAATAGCTTCTGGCCTGTTTTCTAAAATGATGCAAATGCTATATCATTCTGTAATTAGTACCCAACTGGCATATCTTTTATCTTACCCTTACTATTTCTATCAAAATATCTGATTAACAATCATGATTAGGACTAGTGGCCACAGTCAGTATTAGTGGATCTTTAAACCTCTGTCAAATAAATCCACAGAGATCAACTTTGTTTATTTTTTGAGAAAACACAAATTTTCTTTTTTTGCTAAGACTTTCAAAGAATCTCTAATAAACCAACAACAAAGACAAGGAAAATGTAAAACAACATCTAGATTTAGATCTGCTAAATTTCGTAGTGAACACTATAGAAAATGGCATTTTTCCTGTTACATTTATGTAACTATATGATAATTAACTAGAACATCATCAGGTTATATTTTCACAAATGGGCAACACTGAATAGAATCAATACTGTATTTCTTTTACATAAAAATTTGTAGCACTGAAGTGTGTCATTAGTTTTACTAAAGAAATTATCAAAACACTACTCCATGCAAGGTACAAAATGAGGCTTTTAAAGGACATAGGGGGATAATATGTAGGAATTTTTAAAGCAAATGCCTTGGTCTTGTCCTCAGTAGTTATTCTACAAAGAATACTGGACATGGAAAAAAGTTCTGTCACTTAAAGTTGTAGAAATGCACAATAAACAAAATAAGGAGATTGGTATTGTTCATTGGATTATTATTAATAACACAGCAGGTGCTTAATGACAGTTTAGTGATGATCTATAATGAAGTGATTCTTACTCAGATACAACTGCTTTAATTGTGACAGATTTTTGGTAACCAGTGCCACCAAATTTCTTTAATAACTTTCGGAGAGTAAATCACTTTTTAAAAATTAAATACCCACAAATAACCATATAGGCAATGTTTCTTGAACTTTAATTTTCAATAATGCTTTCTTTGTGAAACAGCCATACTCTAAGATCCTTTTGGTACTAACAACATCTCTGCCTGGATGAAGTTCAAGGCTAGCCTGTTTCTTACCAAAATCCTTAGCTAAAAATACTATCAATAATAAAAAATAATAATAATGATAATAAATAGCTAACAATTTTGAACAAAGCAATCTATTGAAAATTAGAAACACTGAGGTCCCTGTTTATGGATTTTGCATAGAGAGTAAGGTGACTTTAGAGTTAAGAAAGGAATAATAGAAATGCAAGGATAGATATTTCTTTAAAAAGAAATCAATTTGCTAAAATTTTTCAGAGGTGAAAACTGAGCTTTGCAGAAGTAAGCAACCTGCCTTTGGCCACACAACTGGTAAATGAGGTAGCCAGGATTTTGATCCATTGTCTACCCTACTCCATTTTCATGTTCCTGACCATCATGCTATATGGCCTCTCAATATAAGAAAACATGTGAAAATAGGATTCTTAGGTACTATTTTACCATTTCTTTTTGTGGAGAGGTCCCACGTGGCATGTCATGGTGCTAAGTTGGACCCCAGAAATGTTTACACTGGCCTGCAGTTTAGCTCCTTCCCACTGCATTCATCTGTCTGTCCCTGAAGTTACTTGAGATGTAACCTCTGAGATACTATAGTCTGTATTTCAAATGATTTTAAAAGTATCTTCTCATGTTGTATTCATTAGTGAGAATAAATCAAAAAGTTAACAAGAAATGGAGAGTGATTCCCATAAGATGAGAGTGGACTGATACACAAAAATCCTAAATAACTCACCAAGGAAAGCAGTAGAAACTAGTGAAAGGAACATTAGCTCTGCCTTACATTCTTATTCAACTACTTTGGGATAAGTTACAAAAACCATCTGAGTCTCAGTTTTATCATCTATAAAATGGGGTTCTTATTACCATTCCAAATAGGTGCAGTGAAGCTTAAATTATATTATACAGATAAACCCTTCAACAGAATGTCTATCTTCTAGCAGGTTCTCAATAAAAAATAATTTTTCTATCATTAGTGATAGAGGACAAAGTTAATAATGTATGAAGAAATGAGGTCATTGGATAAGATCATAAAGATCCCCTCTGCTGTCTCTCCAGGGTATGATAAAACCCACCATTGTGAATACAGATTAGAAGCTTAATTAAAGTTGAAGAGTAAGATCAATATATTCTTGAGTCAAATGAAAAGAGAATCAATGTTTAACTAGATTTTTAATTACAAAAATGAACATACACTTATGGTAAAAAGAAATCCAGAGAGTAATAGGAATAAAACTACAAGTCATGGGACGCAAAGCTTCAGCAATACCCCAGAAATTATTACTGCTGGTTACAACTGTAATCTTAGAATCTTCATTCTTTCTAAGAATTTGTATAACATTCAAGTATATAGATACTAATATTTTATATGTAGCTATTTATATAAAACAGATTATAAGTATATAAATTTAAGTACAGTAGCCCCTTCTTATCCATGGGTGATACATTTCAAGATCCCTTATGAATGCCTGAAACCGCAGACAGTACTGAACCCTCCATTTACTAAGTTTTTTTCTATACATGCATACCTATGATAAACTTTATGAATCAGGCAGAGTAGGATGAACAACAATAACTAATAATAAAATAGAACAATTATAACAACATGCCAACATCACTGCTATTGCTCTTTGGAGCCGTTATTTGGTAAATTAAGGGTGACTTACACACAAGCACTGCAATAGTATGACAGTTGATCTCATAACAAGATGGCTACTAAGTGACTAACAGCAGAGACATATACAGAGCGAACAGGCTCAGCAAAGGGTTGATTCATGTCCCAGACAGGACGGAATGGGACAATGTGAGATTTCATCAGGCTACTCAGAATGGTGTCCAATTTAAAACTTATAAATTGTTTATTTCCAGAATTTTAAATTTATTTTCAGACCTTGGTTTACCACAGGTATCTAAAGCAGTGGAAAGCAAAACAATGGATAAGTCAAGACTACCGATGCACATAAATTAAAAGGTATATACATCCATATATCCATATATGTGTGTGTTTAGACACACACATATAGGGCACATTCTTTATAATATCTGTGTACTACTCTATAATTCAGTTTCCATCATTTTTAAACTATTTTGACTTATTACAAACATTACTGCAACAAGCAAATCTTTGCACATGCGTGAGGCTCTATCTCTAGGATCCATTCTAGAAGTAGAAGGGCTCAGACACGTCATTTTTAACTGTGATGGGTTTTACCAACTATGCCCCAGAAAGTAGCCCATCCCTCCAACAGCCTGTGAGTGTCCATTCACTCACAACCTCTCCAATACTGTTTAATATCTGACAATTTGAGGAGAGACAAACGGAATTGATATGGGAGGGGGGCAGGGAAGTGCTGGGTATAGAAAGGTGGGGTCCCTGGTGAGGGCTCCACCCTCGGGCCTGTGCCCACGGACCTAGGTGAGGACAGACAGTTGTGTTTTCACACCCAAATGTTGCGATGTCCAAGATAACTCTGGCCTGCCATGCCCCCATCCTGTGCTTACAGAAACACAGAGACCATAGCGGGCACAAACACAAGTGGCTGGATGTTGAGAGAAACATGCCAGCCGAAGAACACACAAGCAGTTGGAGGTCAAGAAGAGCAGAAGAGCACACCGACAGGCACCAGCAAATGCAGGTCATCGACAGCAGGACTATGTGGAATTCCGCTGGGGGTGGTCGGAGAAGAGCCCCGCCAGCAGCTGAATGGCCCAAACCCCGGGGAAGGCCACCTTCCCACTCCATTCCTCTTCCGGCTCACCATTCATCTGCTGAGAGCTACTTCCACCACTCATTAAAAAACCTTGCACTCATTCTCCAACCCCACGTGTGATCCAATTTTTCTGGACACTACATAAAGAACCCAGGATACAGAAAGCCCTCTGTCCTTGCGACAAGGCAGAGAGGGTCTAACTGAGCTGACTAACACAAGCGGCCTGCAGAGGGCAACACTGAGAGTGGCATGGTAACACACGCCCACCGGGGTTTCGGGGGCTTGTAAACACTCAACCCTCGAAGGTGCTGTGGGGTCGGCGATGCTCAGGACTTGCCCGTCTGCATGCTCCCCTAGGGGTATGCGCAGCGGAGCACCAAAGAAATGAGCCACACCCCCATCGCGTGCCTGCGAGTGAGATTAGGGAACTTCTGTTTCAGAATCTCACCTCATTATTTGTGAAGTTGAAAATATTTTATTGGCCTTCATTAATCTTTTTCTGCGAACTACCATTGGCTCATTTTCTTTTTAATTTGTGAGTGCTTTTTAATAAGGAAATTTTCTTTGTAAAGTGTTGAAAAATAAACTTTACCTTTTAAATTGTTGTATGTTTGCTCGTATTCTGAATTTTGATTGTGTTTATAAGGTTTTTTTTTCTTAGCAGCTTTAAATCATTTTAAAACAAATTTTATCAGTCTTTATTTGTAAATTCTGGATACTGGTTCATTCATAGAAAGACTTTTCCCACTCAAGATTATTTATAAATTCACATAAACATTTATTTTCATGACTTTCTTTCACTCTTTACACATAAGTGTCATTTGCATGTGATTCCATTTGGTGTAATGATATACAATTTAGTTGACATACCCAATCATTATAACACGATTTTTGAAGCTTTTCCCGTTATTTTGAAATTGTTCATATTCTGAAGTGCATGCACTGGTGTCTATTTTTTATCTCTCCATTCTGTTTCATTAAGTTGCCTTTTTATTTCTAGACCTATGCAAGATATGTTAGCATTTAAATATATATCAAACAAATTTAATTGTTCACATTACTCCTCCTAACTTTTCTTAACTAATCTTATATTCTAAATGAATTATTGTTGAATACAAAATAAAATCTGACAACTTGGAGAGACTATGGCATATTTAGGTTCTCTGTGTTATTAATAGCTGTGTGAACATGAGAAAGCTAAATTTTCTGTGATTGTTGTCTCATCTATATAAATAGTCATAATACTTTCACTTTTTCATAAGAGAATTGTAAAGATAATGGAGAAACAAAAACAAGTATAAACTTAACTCCATGCCTGGCTACTGGTAAGTACTATAAATGTTACTAATTCTATCATTAATGATTTAGGGAAAATTGCCACATCTACAATATAATCCCTTATACAGTTGAATGGGTTACATACTTCTATTAATTCAAGGCAGATTTCTTTTACATCATTTCCTAGTACTTTTAATGTTTTTTTGTATAGGTTCTGAATGTTTTGATAAGCCAATCTGACCATCTCTTTCTGCTATTAGTTATTCTATATTCCCATAATTTTTAATTGCCACATAAACATCCTACCATTTGCAACAATTCTTGAATTTATTCTCTTGTGTTTCATAGGTATAATCATAACGTTTAATAATAATGTTAAGTTTCACTCCTTTTTTCTAGCTTTCATGTTTTTCTTGACTAATTACACTGGCTAATAATTAAACATATCACTTAATACTGATGATAATTTTACCTTTTCTGGTATTCATACCTATTTTTCTTCTTGTTTAATTGCATTGGCTAGTGCTTTTAAAAATTATAAATAATATTATTACTGATGTTCTTCAATAACTCTCATCTTTAATAGCATTGCCTCTATTGTTTTGACATTTAGTATGATATGGACTCTCAATTTGCAGTACATATTCTATACTGTTAATAGTATAACCATCACTTACTAAATTAATAAGAGCCTTTTCTTACAAATAAATGTCAATTTATAAAATACATCTTACATATTGTCGTGTAAATATTATCCTTTTCTTCTACTCTGACCTGTTAATGTCTATATTTAGTATTTAGGTGGCAGTTTTGATAACACTGAACATTCGCAATTTCCTTCTACGTAATTCCATTTTCCCTAGTGTGAGAAAATCAGAGGGAACATGAAAGGGAGAGGTAAAGAAGATGTAATGATAAGGAAGAGGATGTAAATGTATGTATGTATATGTATACCTATGATATGGTTTAGCTCTGTATCCCTACCCAACTCTCACCTTGATTGTAATTATCCCCACAAATCAAGGGTGGGACCAGGTAGAGGTAATTGGACCATGGGGGCAGTTTCCCCCATGCTGTTCTCATGATAATGAGTGAGTCTCATGAGATCTGATGGTTTTATAAGTGTCCGGCATTTCCCCTGCTTGCATTCATTCTCTCCTGCCGCCCTGTGAAGAGATGCCTCTGCCGTAATTATAAGTTTCCTAAGGTCTCCCCAGCCATGTGGAACTGTGAGTCAATTAAACCTCTTTTTTTTTTTTTTTTAAATAAATTACCCAGTCTTGGGCATTTCTTCATAGCAGCGTGAGAACAGACTAATACAACATACATGTACATGAATGCACATATGCATGTGTGTATGTACATATGTATGTATAAGAACACAAAAAGTGTGTGTTTATTATTGGACAGTGGACCCTTTTTTGCCCAAGATGGCAGATTAGGAGCTTTTAGTATGCCTCAGCTACTTGGAAATAGATCAGTTCTGTGAGCTTTAAGAAGGAAAGCAGGAATCTATTCATGGACTCACGAAGGACACCACAGGTCCCAGAAAGGAGAATGTAGGCAAACACCCATCATGAAAGCACCCAGCTGATAAAAGTGAGTGATTCCCCCGGATATGAGAGAGGCAGAGAGTCTCCTTCTGTGACTCACCTTTCCACTGGGGATCCAAGCAACCCAGGCTGATGGAGAACACTGTTTCCCCAAGTCCTGAAGTTAACTTGGAAAGAGGCTTAGAAATACTGAGAGGGATAAAAGACACCAGGAAAAGCTTCAGGAATTTTCCCAGAATGAGGACCAAGATCAGGATTCCATTTTTAATCTGAGTGCATATAAAGACAGTCATTCTTTAGTGACCCAGCAACATGGTCATGCAGGCATTTTAGTCTCAGTCCAGAGGTTGAGGTGCCTGCTCTGGAGTGGGGCAGGGGGAACCACAGCCAGAATTGTGGAAAGTGCCTCAACAGTAGGTACTGAAATTGTGCTTTCCCAAATTGCAGGCCTGTAGCAGGAAGAGATCTGCGGTTTCTCCTGAGCAACAAGAGCTACAGCCAGGGCCAGCTCGGCAATACAGAACAGGTCTGTGTGTGTGTATTGCTGGGTGCCCCAGCCAGTTCCCCTGAGATTGTGGTGCAGTAGGGCTCTCTTCATTTCACCCCCAGGCAAAACTCCAGGCATTCAGAGCACTACTGGTCTGAATCAGCAGTCTGAGCTGCCCTAACATCCCTGGGCATAGATCATCGTGCATCAGAGCACTCTCAGCTCCACGCCCAGGCAGATCTGCAGGTATTTAGAGCATTCGCAGCCACCCCATCCTTCCTGAGCTTAAATTGTAGTGCTTCGGAGCCCTCTCAGCTCCACACCCAGGCAGGTCTCCAGCCATTTGGAGCACCAATTTGCATGGATCAGTAGACTGAGCTGACCCACCCTGCCTGTGCAGATATCCTGCTGCAGCAGGGGGTTTCCAGGGGGTCTCTCCACTTCACACCCAGGCACACTTCAAAGTATTCAGAGCACCCACTTTCCCTGATCAGCAGCCAGAATGGCCTTACCCTTCCTATGCAGAGACTGTGGTAAAGTAAGACACTCTCTGATCCATGCCCGAGCAGATCTCCAGGCATGTGGAACATCTGCTTGCCTGGTTAAGCAACCGGAGCTGACCCACCCTACCTGTGAAGAGATCGTGGTGAAGTGGGGCCCTCTCCACTCCATGCCCTAGCAGATATCTCTGGGCATTTGGAGCACCCACTAACTTGAATCAGCAGCCTGAGCAAACCCACTCTTCCAGTGAAGAGATCATGGTTAAGGGAGTGGAGGGGCTCTTCAACACATGACCAGGCATATCCCATTCACCTAGATTAGCATCTTAAGCTGACCCATCCTTTCTGTGCATATTATAGTGCAGCAGGGTCCTCTGCACTCAACATTAAGGCAGATCTCCAGGTATCTGGTATATTCACTCTCATGAATTAGGCATTTAGGCTGTCCCCCTCCCCATGCAAAGAGCTTGGGCAGAGGAGATTTCTCAGCTCCATGACTAGGCACAGCTCTGGGCACTTAGTGGCTGCCTACAGAATTCTCCCTTAGTACTAGTGCCCGCCATCAGGGAAACTGTAGATGGGCCAGCCCTGTCTGGCCCCTCCCATCTTTTTCTTGTCTCCCTGGGGCTGAGCATGGAGCTCAGACCACTGAGCCCTCCATGGATCACCCCATTGCCTGAGGAAACAGAGAGGTCTTAATAAACAATGATGGAGTATATGTCCACCTGCATTGGCTGCAGCTGTTACTTACCCATAAGTGTCATCTACTGGCTTATAGGTTGGACCATACAGCCCAATACAAAACCTATTGACAGAAGTGCACAGGGCTACAGAAGCAAGGCCAAAAGATTCTGCCCAACATCCTCTATAGTCACACCATCTAAGAAGGGAATAAAAGGGAATTAAAAAGAAAAAGAAACAGTAATACTACAGAAAAAGAAAAAACCCTACTGTATGAAAATAATTACAAAAACTAGAAGTTCCAGTGTCTCCAGATGAGAAAAAAGCCAATGCAAAAATCTGACACCATGAAATGTCTAGAGACTGGGTGCAGTGGCTCATACCTGTAATTCTAACAGTTTGGGAGGCTGAGGTAGGCAAACTGCTTGAGCCCAGGAGTTTGAGACCAGCCTAGGCAACATGGTGAAACCCTATCCCTACAAAAAAATATAAAAATTAGCCAGGTGTGATGGTATGCACCCATAGTCCCAGGTAGTTGGGAGGCTGAAGTGGGAAGATCACCTGAGTCTGGGGAGGTCAAGGTGGCAGTGAGCTGTGACCACACCACTGCACTCCAACCTGGGTGACAGAGTGAGACCCTGTGATCCTTAAAAAGGATCACACTAGCTATCCAGCAATTATCCCTAATCAAAACAGAAACTCAGAAATGACAGATAAAGGAAGCAAAGCATGGACTGCAAGGAAGTACAATGATTTCAAGACAACATTGAAAATCAACACAAAGAAACTTCTAAAACAATTCAGGAAATTAAGAAAGAGATAAATATCTTAAAAAGAAATCAGAGCATTTGGAATTGAAAAACTCACTTAAGAAATTTCAAAAATACATTTGAAACCTTTATCAATAGACTGAACCATGCAGAAGAAAGAATTTTAAACCCAGTCAGAAAAAAAAATTTTTTAAGATTTTTTTTCAAAGAATGAAGAAACTATTTGAGAAATATAGGATTATGTAAAGTGACTGAACCTAGGAATCACTGCCATTCATGAGAGAGAAGGAAACAAAGTAAATGGCTTAGAAAACACATTTGAAGGAATAAATCAAGAAAATTTTTCTAATCTTGCTAGACAGGTAAACATCCAAATATAAGATATCCAGATAACACCTAACCTGTGTGATATTATATGAAATGAAGATCACCAAAACATATAGTCACCAGACTGTCCAAAGTCAAACCTGAAAAAAAAAAAAAGCCTTAAAAGCAGCTAGAGAAAAATGTCAGATCACATACAAAGGGAACTCCATCAGGCTAACAGTAGACTCTCAGCAGAAACCTTACAAGTCAGGAAAGATTGGGGACATATTTTCCGCATTTTTAAAGAAAAAAAAATTTCAACTAAGAATTTTATATCTCACTAGATTAAGCTTCATAAGTGAAGGAGAAATAAAATCTTTTCCAGATTTGCAAGAACTAAGGGAATTTGTTTTCAGCAGACCAGCCTTACAAGAATTCTCTTACCAGCTTAAGAGAATTCTAAACCTGAAAATGAAAGAACAATACCTACTGCCACATAAACACACTTAGTTCATAGCCCAAGACATTATAGAGCAGCCACACATTTGAAACTACAAAGCAACCAGCTAACAGCTTCCTGATAATCAGTATGGAAACATCTCATACCAATACTAAATATAAATGGTATAAATGCCATCACTGAAAAGGCACAGAACTTCAAGTTGGATTAAAAAAAAAAACGCAAGGCTCATTCACCTGCTATCTTTAAGAGACTCATCTTACATGTAACAACACTTACAGGAACAAAGTAAAGGACTGGAGAAAGATCCATCATGCAAACAGAAAATAAAAAGAAAGAATGAAAAGAAAAATACCAGGAGTCACTATTCTTATATCAGATACAACAGACTTTAAACCAACAACAGTATAAAAGGACAAAGAAAGACATAATATAGTGACAAAGGGTTCAATTAAACAAGAAAACCTAGCTATTCTAAATGCATAGGCACCCAACATTAGAGCACCCAGATCCATAAAATGAGTACTTCTAGTCCTATGAAAAGACTTAGCCACACAATAATAGTGGGGGACTTCAACAATCCACTTACAGCATTGCGCCAGTCATCCAGACAGAAAAGTAACAAAGAAATTGTGGACTTAAACTTCACGCATGACCAATTGGACCTAATAGACATCTGCAGAATACTCCATCCATCAACTACCAAATATAAATTCTTCTCATCTGCATGTGGAACATACTCTATGAGTGACCACATGTTTGGCTATAAAGCAAGCCTCAATAACTTCAAAAAAATCAAAATCATACCAACCATATTTTTGGTCCACAGTGAGATAAAAATAGAAACCATTGCCAAATAAATCACTGAAAGTAAAACAATTATATGAAAATTAAACAGCTTACTCATGAGTGGCTTTTGGGTGAACAACAAAATTAAGGCAGAAATAAAAAAAATTATTTGAAATAAAAACGAAGACATGACATACCAAAATCTCTGGGATATAGCAAAAGCAATTTCAAGAGGAAGGTTTGTAGTGCTAAACAGCTACCTGAAAAATTCAGGAAGATTTCAAATTAACCACCTAATGGTACCCTTAGAGTAACTAGAAAAACAAGAACAAACTAACCCAAAAGTTAGCAGAAGAAAAGAAATAACTAAAACCAGACCAGAACTAAATGAATTTGAGACCCAAAAATCAATGCAAAGAATAAATGACCAAAAAGTTGGTTTTTTGAAAGGTTAAAGAAAAATCTATAAATCACTAGCTAGATTAACAAAGGAAAAAAGAGAGATCCACATAAGCACAATTAGAAACAGCAAAGGTGATATTACAACCAATCCCACAGAAATACAAAAGATCCTCAGAGACTATTATGTACATACCTATGCACACAAACTAGAAAACCTAGAGGAAATGGATACATTCCTAGAAACACACAACCCCCTCAAGACTGAATCAGGAATAAATTCAAATCCTATATACACCAACTTCAAGTTCCAATATTGAATCAGTAATAAAAAGTCTACCAACCAATAAAAGCCCCAGACTGGCTGGATTCATAGCAAACTTCTATCAGATGTATAAAGAAGAGCAAATATTAATTTTCCTGAAACTATTGCAAAAGTTTGAGCAGGAAGGACACTTTCCTAAATCATTCTATGACGCGAGTATTACCCTGATACCAATGCCTGACAAAGACACAATGAAAAAAAAAATAAAAACACTACAGGCTAATATTCTGGATGAACATAGACGCAAAAATTCTCAACAGAATGCTAGCAAACTGAATCCAGTAGCACATCAAGAAATAAACTGATCAGGAGCAACTAGGCTATATTCTTGGGGAGCAAGGTTGGTTCAACTGATGAAAATCCATAAATAAAATTCATCACATAAATGGAATTAAAATCAAAAATCACAATTCTCTCAATAGACAAGAAAAAAATCTTTCAATAAAATCCAACATTTCTTCATGATAAAAGCCCTCAGCAAACTAGGCATCGAAGGAACATACCTCAAAATAATAAGTAGCATCTATGACAAACCCAGAGGCAACCTCATACTAAACAGGCAAAACCTGAAAGCATTCCCTTTGAGAACTGGAACAAGACAAGGATGCCCATTTTCACCAATCTTATTCAATATAGTACAGGACCAAGTCCTAGCCAGAGCAGTCAAGTAAAAGGAGGAAATAAAAGGAATCCAAATAGAAAAAGGAGAGTGGAACTACCTCTCTTCACTGATGATATAGTTCTATACCTAGAAATCCCAAAGACTCCTCTAAAAGGCTCCTGGAACTGATAAACAAATTTAGTAAAGATGGAGGATACAAAATCAGTGTACAAAAATTAGTAGCATTTCTATACACCAATAACATTCAAGATGAGAGCCAAATCAAGAATGCAACCCCATTCACAATAGCCACACACACACAAAAAAATACCTAGGTTTACCTCTAACCAAGGTGGTGCACAATCTCTCCAAGGGAAACTACAAAATGCTAATGAAAGAAATCATAAATGACTCAAGCAAATGGTAAATCATTCCATGCTCCTACATTAGAAGAATTACTATCATTAAAATGGCCATATTGCCCAAAGTAACCTGCAGATTCAATACTATTTCTATCAAACTACAAATGTCATTTTTCACAGAACTAGAAAAAAACTGTTCTAAAACTCGTATGGGACCAAAAAGGAGACAGAATAGTCAAAGCATTCCTAAGCAAAAAGAACAAAGCCAGAGGCATCACATTACCTGACTTCAAACTGTGACGGAAGCTGCAGTAAACAACAAAGCATGATACTTTGTTGTACAAAAAGAGACACATAGACCCATGGAACATAATAGAAACCCCAGAAATATAGCTGTACACCTATAGCCATATTTTTGACAATGTTGACAAGAATAAGCAATGGAGAAAAGAATCCCTATTCAATAAATGAGTCTGGGGTAACTGGCTGACCACAAGCAGAAGAATAAAACTGGATGACTGCCTTTCACTATATACGAAAATTCACTGCAAATGGATGCAAGATTTAAATGTAAGAACTCAAACTATAAGAATCCTTGAAGAAAACCTGGGAAACACCACTCTGGACATTGGCCTTAGAAAAGAATTTATTTATAACTAAGTCCTCAAAAGCAATTGCAACAAAACCAAAAATGGACAAATGGGGCCTAATTAAACAGCTTGTGGATAGCAAAAGAAATCATCAGCAGAGTAAACAGACAACCTACAGAATGACAGAAAATATTTGCAAACTATGCATCTGACAGAGGTTTAATACCCTGAAACTTTAAGAAACTTAAACACGGTGGCTCACGCCTGTAATCCCAGCACTTTGGGAGGCCGAGGCGGACAGATCACGAGGTCAGGAGATTGAGACCATCCTGGCTAACACGGTGGTCTCTATAACCCTGTCTCTATTAAAAATACAAAAAATTAGCTGGGAGTGGTGGCGGGCGCCTGTAGTCTCAGCTACTTGGGAGGCTGAGGCAGGAGAATGGTATGAACCTGGGAGGCAGAGCTTGCAGTGAGCCGAGATCGCTACACTGCACTCCAGCCTGGGTGACCGAGTGAGACTCTGTCTCAAAAAAAAAAAAAAAAAGAAAGAAAAGAAAACAAAAGAAAAAAGAAACTCAAGCAATTCAACAAGCAAAAACCAAAAAACTGCATTTAAAAATGGGCAAAGAACAGATACTTCTCAAAATAAGACATACAAGCAGTCAGCAAACAAGAAAAAACTGCTGAACATCACTAGTCATGTGAGATACCATCTCACATGAGTCAGAATGGCCATTATTAAAAACTGAAAAAGCAACAGATGCTGGTGAGGCTGCTGAGAAAAGGAAATCCTTATACAGTGTTGGTGAGAATGTAAATTAATTCAGCCACCATGGAAAACAGCTTAGATATTCCTCAAAGACCTTAAAACAGAACGACCATTTGACCCAGCACCCCATTACTGGGTATGGAATTACAAAAGTAAATAAATTACTCTACCAAAGAAATTCATTTGTATGTTTGCTGCAGTACTATTCAAAATAGCAAAGACATGGAATCAATTTAGGTATCTATCAATGGTGCACTGGGTAAATAAAATGTCATACATATATACCACAGAATACGACACAGCCGGAAAAGAGAATGAAATTATGTACTTTGCAACAAAATAGATGAAACTGGAGGCCGATATCCTAAGCAAATTAACACAGGAACTGAAAAGCAAATACAGCATGTTCTCATTTATAAGTGGAAACTGGATATTGGGTACTCATGCCCATAAAAATGAGAGTAATAGACACTGGCAAGTACTAGAGCGGGGATATAGGAAAGGGGAAGGATTGAAAATCTGCCTATGGGGTACTATGCTCACTAACTAGGTGACGGGATCAATTGTATCCCAAGCATTACCGTCGCACAATATACCCATATACCATACCAGCACATGTACCTCTTGAATCAAAAATAAAACTTAAAATTACTTTAAAAATTATCTTATTATTGAATAATAACAAGATGATGTTAAAGTTATAGAAGAAAAACAATCCAAGAACATTCATGTCTGGAAAAACAAACTAATTTCTTAAACAGAATACAAAAAGAAATAACAAAGAAAATATTGATTACTTGAAATTCATTAAGATTAAGGACTTCTTTTTATTTTAAAAAATGTGCACTAGAAGCCAAGCTATATAGTTAGAGAAAATATTTCCTCTATGTATAGCTCACAAAGAACCTAAATCTAGAATATATAAATAATTCATTTTAATCAATAAGAAGACAAAGAAGACGGATAAAAATAGGCAAAACATCCAATATAAGAGGGGGATATTCAATTGGCCAATAAATGTAAGAGAAGGTACTCAACTTAGTCATCAGAAACTACAAATTAAATATGCAATGTGTCTGTTAGAGATTTGGGACTGTATTAACAGAACAGGAAAACATGATAAAATATTGTGTTTATACATGGGCATTTTATTTATGAAAATGGGCATTTTAAATTATTTGCAAAAGGAGAAGTGATTCAATATATAGTTTATGGAAATATTGGCTATTCATCTAGAAAACATATAATTAGATCACTACCTCATACCAAACAAAAAATAAATCAATTTATTAAAGGCCTAAGTTTAAAGCTAAAGTTATTAAAAGTAAATATAGAATTTATGTGTTTTTCAAGAGGATGCTTTTTCTATATAAAATGAAAAACCCAAGAATTATAAAAGAATGAACTTTGATAAATTTAGTAAATGAAAGTATAAACCTTTTCTAAATAATACAAAACAAAGTATAAACGCAAGTGAAAAACTTGAAACAAAAGCATAGTGTGTAATAGACAAAGAAATAATATTCACAATATTAAACCATGTTTTATATAATACATTTGATAGTATGCATAAGAAAAGCAGTCTCATGCAAAAATAGAATACCAGAAATAAACAGGAACAAAATGCAACTGGCTTTTACAAATATGAAAAATGCTTAACTTCATTAATAGTTCAGAAACACAAATTTAAATGAAAATGAAATATAATTTATCAATTATTTTGGCAAAGTTTAAAAAATAATAAACTGTGTTGGTGGTGATGCAGGCAATTGGTACTTTCCTAAACTCTTCATGGGAATATAGTTAATATACTGATAATTTCATTGTATCAATTTCAACTGGCAGGATCAATCAACTTTTTTTTTCTGTTCTTCAACCTTAAGCTCTACTTCTTGTAATCTGCCATGGAAAAATACTGACAATTGTACATAAGACTATATTATTGTAATGGCAAAAAAACTAGAACAAACACTTACCAATAAGGTATTAATAAATCATGACATAGCCTTATTATGGAATGCTTTACATCCCTTATAAAGAACGAGTAGCAGTATATATTGAATCATGAGAGAGAAAGAGAGAGACATTATCAGTCCATTTTATGCTGCTATAACAGAGACTGGATAATTTATAAAGAACAGAAATTTATTTATCATACTTCTGGAGGCTGAGAAGTCCAAGATCAAGGCACTAGCATCTAGTGAGGGCCTTCTTGGTGCATCCTCTCATGGTGAAAGGCAGTAGGGCAAAAAGGGATGGACTTCCTTCATCAAGCCTCTTTATAAGGGCACCTAATCCCATTCACAAGGAAGTAGCTCTCATTGCCTAATCACCTTTAAGACCTTTCCTCTTAATACCGTAATATAACCTGAACTGTGGAGGAGACACCTTCAAACTAGCAGACATAAAGTAATCTCTAAAACATATTGTTAAAATTAAAGAGCTGGAGAAAACAGTTGACTATGTTATTATTTATGAAAATTTAAAAAAACTCACTAAACTAAATGTGTGTTTCTATATTACAAAAATCTGAATAATATACACCAAACTATTAACAGGGGTTATTTTTGAGGAATCGAGGTTGTGGAAGTGGGGCAGTACAGGGAAAGGTTAATTTTTAAATATTGTTTTATTTGACTTGTTCACATCTAACAGGTATTCACATATTACAATTTTTTAAAAGACAAAAGGACTTATTTGCAGTTGAAAAATTAAAATTTATCAAATGAGAAATAATAGAAAGAAGAGCATAATATGCTAAGCCTAACTGACCACAGTGTAGCACCCACAGTCTGTGTAAAGAAAGGTAGGCCACATTTGTGAGACAATCTTCATCATTTTGTAGAAGAACCCTACTTCTACAAAATGAATTGCCCTGAAGGCAACAAGATGTGGAAGTCAGTTAAGAGATTGAAAACAACTGGAAGTAGGTGATCTATTAGTATTTAAAAACGTGACTTCAAATAAAAGAATAAGGAAAGTAGAGAAAAGAATGCATTTCCACATAGAAGACCAGGAGCTTTTGACAGAAGGAGAGACTCCAAATGCAGAGTCTGCTATATACAGAAATTTTGACTCACCCAAGAGTCATTTTGTATTCACAGTTCCAAGATATAGAGAAGTCAGCATATACAGCAGTGTCAACTGCCTTCAGGTACTGAGGTCCCAGCCTGGGACTCTTTTCAGCCATATTCCTCTTTTATTCTGCAGTTCTCTGCAGTATCTCCTACAAGTATCTCCTTCTCCTTTGTAGTTACTCACTCTGTTCCATTCTGCCTGTTCGAAGCAAAATGGAGTTGGCTACTAGAAAATGTTGTGGTGCAAGACAGCAAGAAGGACAAAGGAAGGGTGGTACCTATTTCTAGATTTTCACTACCACAACCACATAGGCCCTGACCCAGTACGGTTCCTTACAGACTGACATAAACACCTGGCAGGCCAAGTCTCCAATAACGGCAGGCAGGCAGTGATGGAAAGCTATAAATTTTTTTTATTTTTTTTAATGAAGTCTCGCTCTTGTCGCCCAGGCTGGAGTGCAATGGCACCATCTCGGCTCACTGCCACCTCCGCCTCCCAGGTTCCAGCGATTATCCTGCCTCAGCCTCCTGAGTAGCTGGGATTAGGCACCTGCCACCAAGCCTGGCTAACTTTAGTAAGCTATAAATTATTTGAACAACATTTAAGTCAATTACCAGAGACACCTCTGCTGAACATTCCTAAGGAGTCTCCCTGGAATGCTTGCCATGATAAACAATCAAAAATAAATTGTGCTAAAAAGGAAAATATTTCTGACATTTATTTCAGCAACTAATTAGAAATACAATAAGGATCAATTTTAGTTTCAAATATTTTACAAAGTTAAGGAACTGAAAAATATATAGAATTACACATATAGACTATTATTTGGCCAACAGATATGACATTTGATTGTTCTCCAGTGGAGACAACTAAATGAAAAATTCACCCTCCTGTGACACTCACTGAAAATCAGCAGTAGCTTAATATAATCCTCCATGTGATTCCTTCATGAGTCAGGCCATTTTAATTCCCAAAGTTTATCTTGAACACTATATAAATATTTCTTCACAAATCATGACTCTTCAGACATAATTATCACAATTAATTATAATATATACGGCCACCAATTATATCACCTTCTATAAATGGCAATTTCAACTGATAACAAATCCAGCCATTATTAATGGCCATTCTCTGTAATCTTGTCAAGTTATAAGTACCGGGTAAGAAGCATTATTCTAAAGACAGGTTAATTAAAGCCATAAAGATGATTCTAGACAAAGTAGGAAGAAGCAGCACTCAATACCATAGTTTTTGCCTACTAGCCTGCAGATAGGTTACTTTCACCTCATATAACCTAATTCCTCTTTTCTTTTACATTTTGCAGTGGTTCATTTTTTTAAAAAAATTATACTTTAAGTTCTGTGATACATGTGCAGAACGTGCAGGTTTGTTACATAGGTATACACATGACATGGTGGTTTGCTGCACCCATCAACCCATCATCTACATTAGGTATTTCTACTAATGCTATCCCTCCCTAGCCCCTCACCCCCTGACAGGCCCCGGTGTGTATTGTTCCCCTCCCTGTGTCCATGTGTTCTCATTGTTCAACTCCTTTATGAGTGAGAATATGCAGTGTTTGGTTTTCTGTTCCTGAGAATGCTCAGCAAACTGACACAGGAACAGATTCATGGATTGCAGCTTCATCCATGTCCCTACAAAGGACATGAACTCATCCCTTTTTATGGATGCATAGTATTCCATGGTGTATATGTGCCACATTTTCTTTATCCAGTCTATCATTGATGGGCATCTGGGTTGATTCCAAGTCTTTGCGATTGTGAATAGTGCTGCAATATACGTACCTGTGCATGTGTCTTTAGAGCAGAATGATTTATAATCCTTTAGGTATATACCCAGTAATGGGCTTGTGGGGTCAAATGGTATTTCTGGTTCTAGATCCTTGAGAAATTGCCACATTCTCTTCCACAATGGTTGAACTAATAATTTACACTCCCACCCACAGTGTAAAAGCTTTCCTATTTCTGCACATCCTCTCCAGCATCTGTTGTTTCCTGACTTTTTAATGACCTCCATTCTAACTGGTGTGAGATGGTATATCATTGTGGTTTTGATTTGCATTTCTCCTAATGACCAGTGATGATGAGCTTTTTTTTCATATGTTTGTTGGCCATATAAATGTCTTCTTTTGAGAAGTGTCTGTTCATATCCTTTACCCACTTTTTGATAGGGTTGTTTTTTTTTTTCTTGTAAATTTGTTTAAGTTCTTTGTCTTCTGGATACTATCCCTTTGTCAGTTGGATAGACTGCAAAAATTTTCTCCCATTCTGTAGGTTGCCTGTTCACTCTGATGATTGTTTCTTTTGCTGTGCAGAAGCATTTTAGTTTAATTAGATCCCATTTGTCTATTTTGGCTTCTGTTGCCGTTGCTTTTAGTGTTTTAGTCATGAAGTCCTTGCCCATACCTATGTCCTGAATGGTATTGCCTAGGTTTTCTTCTAGGGTTTTTATGGTTTTAGGTCTTATGTTTAAGTCTTTAATCCATCTTAATTTTTGTATAAGGTGTAGAAAAGGGGTCCGGTTTCAATTTTCTGCATATGGCTAGCCAGTTTTCCCAGCACCATTTATTAAATAGGGAATCATTTTCCCATTACTTGTTTTTATCATGTTTGCCAAAGATCAGATGGTTGTAGATGTTTGATGCAATTTCTGAGGCCTCTGTTCTGTTCCATTGGTCTATGTATCTGTTTTGGTAACAGTACCATTCTGTTTTGGTTACTGTAGCCTTGTAGTATAGTTTGAAGACAGGTAGCATAATGCCTCCAGCTTTGTTCTTTTTGCTTAGGATTGTCTTGGCTATACAGACTCTTTTTTGGTTCCATATGAAATTTAAAGTAGTGTTTTCTAATTCTGTGAAGAAAGTCAATGGTAGCTTGATGGGGATAGCATTGAATCTATAAATTACTTTGGGCAGTATGGCCATTTTCACGATATTGATTCTTCCTATCCATGAGCATAGAATGTTTTTCCATTTGTTTGTGTTGTCTCCTATTTCCTTGAGCAGTGGTTTGTAGTTCTCCTTGAAGAGGTCCTTCTCATCCCTTATAAGTTGCATTCCTACGTATTTTATTCTCTTTGTAGCAATTGTGAATGTGAGTTCACTCATGATTTGGTTCTCTGCCTATTATTGGTGTATAGGAATGCTTGTGATTTTTGCACATTGATTTTGTATCCTGAAACTTTGCTGAAGTTGCTTATCAGCTTAAGGAGATTTGAGGCTGTGATGATGGGGTTTTCTAAATATACAGTCATGTCATCTGCAAACAGAGACAATTTGGCTCCCTCTCTTCCTGTTTGAATACCCTTTATTTCCTTCTCTTGTCTGATTGCCCTAGCCAGAACTTCCAATATTATGCTGAATAGGAGTGTTGAGAGAGGGCATCTTTGTCTTGTGTTGGTTTTCAAAGGGAATTCTTCCAGCTTTTGCCCATTCAGTATGATATTTGCTGTGGGTTTGTCATAAATAGCTCTTACTATTTTGAGATATGTTCCATCAATACCTAGTTTATTGAGAGAGTTTTTGGCATGAAGGGGTGTTGAATTTTATTGAAGGCCTTTTCTACATCTATTGAGATAATTATGTGGTTTTTTTCATTGGTTCTGTTTATGTGATGGATTACGTTTTATGAGTTGCATATGTTGAACCAGCCTTGCATCCAGGGATGAAGCTGACTTGATTGTGGTAGATAAGCTTTTTGATGTGCTACTTTTTAACAATCACAATGTATGTTATTGTTTTTGTTTTTTATTGAGACAGGGTCTCACCCTGTCACCTAGGCTGAGTGCAGTGGCACCATCTCAGTTCATTGCAGCCTCGACCTCCCAAGTTCAAGTGATCCTCCCACCTCAGTCTCTCAAGTAGCTCAGTCTACAAGGGGTGTGCCATCTTGCCTGGCTAATTTCTGTATTTCTTATAGAGACAGGATTTCTCACGCTGGTCTCAAACTCCTGGGCTCAAGCAATCTGCCCACCTCGGCCTCACATAGTGCTGAGACTACAGGCATGAGTCACTATGTCTGGCCACAAATGTATGTTTTTACAGCTTAAACTGCATTTGGAGCCAAAGCAAAAGAAGCTTTGACTAAGAGATAGACACTACATATAGGAGGTGCGCGTCTGGGCACTGAAGTCAAACTGCCTATGTTTAATCTGACCTCTATCACTTGCAGGTTGCAGAATCTTAAGACAAGTTACTAAAACTCTAACAGACATCGAAGACAAATAATTGATCCTTAAATTAAATGAGCTAGTGCATTAACAGAACTCAGTCTAGTGTCTAGCATTAGACTGCTCACACATGTAGCAGAAGTTTTGTCTTGCCCACCATGAACTCTTTAGTACCTAAAATGTCTGACACAGAGTAGATGCTCAGAAAGTGTATTGCATGTTGGAACATTTATTTGGAAACCCAGTGAAAGAAGGTCTGCAGATTACTACAGTTTACCTGCATCAGGAGTTGGAATTGGTCCCAAACTAAATTCTATATCTTAGAAAATGGATCTTTTGAAACCATCTTATTCATAAATAAGGTTCTTCTCCAGAGACACACATTGCAGTTTAACTAGATTAAGTCTTTTTATAAGGAACTGATATGGTTTGGCTCTGTGTCCCTACCCAAATCTCATCTTGAATTGTAATCCCCAATGTGTCAAGGGAGTGACTTCGTGATAGGTGATTGGATTATGGGGAGTTTCCCCCATACTGTTCTTATGATAGTGAGTTCTCAAGAGATCTGATGGTTTAAAGGTGGCACATCCCCCTTCCCTCTCTCTCTTTCCTGCCACCTTGTAAAGAAAGTACTTGTTTCTCCTTCACCTTCAACCATGATTTTAAGTTTCCTCAGGCCCCCTGAGCCATGAAGAAGTGTGTCAATTAAACTCCTTTTGTTTATAAATTACCCAGTCTCAGGTAGTATCTTAATAGCAGTGTGAAAACGAACTAATACAGAGAATTGGTACCGGCAGAGTAGGGTACTATTACAAAGATAACCTGAAAATGTGGAAGCAACTTTGGAAACGGTAACAAGCAGAGGTTGAAACAGATTGGAGGGCTCAGAAGTAGACAGGAAAATGTGGGAAAGTTTGGATTTTCCTAGAGACTTGTTGAATGGTTTTGACCAAAGTGTTGATAATTATATGGACAATGAAGTCCAGATTAAGGGGGTCTCAGATGAAGATGAGGAATTTATTGGGAACTGGAGTAAAGGTCACTCATGCTATGCTTTAGCAAAGAGACTGGTGGCATTTCACCTCTGCTCTAGAGATCTGTCTTTGAATCTGAGAGAGATGATTTAGGGTATCTGGAGGAAGAAATTTCTAAGCAGCAAAGCATTCAAGAGGTTACCTGGCTGATTCTGAAAGTGTTTAGTCATATGCATTCCTAAAGAGATTATCTGAAAGTGAAACTTTTATTTTTTTTAAAAAAGTAGAACATAAAAAGTTTTAAAAATTGGCAGCCTGACCACAAGGTAGAAAAGAAAAACCCATTTTCTGGAAAGAAATTCAAGCCAGCTGTAGAAATTTGCATAAGTAACAAAGAGCCAAATGTTAAATTTCCAAGACAATGGAGATAATGTCTTCATGGCATGTCAGAGATCTTCAAGGCAGTCCCTCCCATCACAGGTCCAGAGACCTAGGAGGAATAAATGATTCCATGTGTCTAGCTTACGGTCCTGCTGCTCTGTGCAGCCTCAGGACTGGTGCCTTGGGTTCCAGCCACTCCAGCTCAGGTGATGGCTGAAAGGGGCCAGGATACAGGTTGAGCCATTGCTTCAAAGGGTGCAAGCCCCAAGCCTTGGTGGCTTCCAGGTGTTGTTGGGCCTGCAGGTGCACAGAAGACAAGAGTTGAGCTTTGAGAACTTCCACCTAGATTTCAGAGGATGTATGGAAACACCTGAACATGCAGGCAGAAGTCTGCTGCAGAGGTGGAGCCCTCATAGAGAACCTGTACCAGGGCAATGCAGAAATGAAATGTGAGGTTGGAGCCACCATACAGGTCCCCACTGGGTCATTTTCTAGTGGAACTGTAAAAAGAGGGCCACTTTCCTCCAGACCCCAGCATAGTAGATCCACTGACAGCTTGCATCATGTGCCTGGAAAGGCCTCAGGCACTCAATGCCAGCCCCACATGAAAGCAGTCAGGAAGGGGGCTGTACCCTGCAAAGCCACAGGGGCAGAGCTTTCCAAGGCCATGGGAGCTCACCTGTTGCATCAGTGTGGCCTGGATGTGAGACATGGAGTCACAGGTGATCATTTTGGAATTTTAAGGTTTAATGACTGCCTTAATGGATATCTGACATGCATGAGGCCTGTAGCCCCTTTGATTTGGCCAATATCTCCCATTTGGAAGAGGTGTATTTACTCAATGCCTGTGCCACCCCCCACCATTGTATCTAGGAAGTAACTAATTTGCTTTTGATTTTACTGGCTTATAACTAAAAGGAACTTGCTTTGTCTCAGATGACACTTTGGACTTGGATTTTTGGGTAATGCTGGAATGAGTTAAGACTTTTGGGGACTGTTGGAAGGGAATGATTATGTTTTGATGTGAGAACAAGAGGTTTGGGAAGGGCCAGCAGTGGATGGTTTGGCTCTGTGTCCCTACCCAAATCTCACCTTGAATTGTAATAATCCCCACATGTCAAGGATGGGACCAGGTGGAGATAATTAAATCATTGGGGTGTTTTCCCACATGCTGTTCTAGTGAGAGGTTATCTGAAGTTGGAACTCTTGTTTTAAAAAGAGGCAAGTCTAAAAGCTTGGAAAATTTGCAGCCTGATGATGCAATACAAAAGAAAAACCCATTTTCTGAGGAGAAATTCAAGCCTGCTGCAGAAATTTCACAAGTAATAAGGAGTTGAATGTTAATAGCCAAGGCAATGGGGAAAATGCCTCCAGGGCATATCAGAGATCTTCACAGTATCCTCTCCCATCACAAGTCCAGAGACCTAGGAGGGAAAAATTGTTGAATGTATCTGGAGCATGGCCCCACTGCTCTGTGCAGCCTCAGGACTTGGTGCCTTGGGTTCCTGCCACTCCAGCTCTAGCCATGGCTAAAAGGGGCCAAGATACAGCTTGGGCTATTGCTTTAGAGGGTGCAAGCCCCAATCCTTGGTGGCTTCCAGGTGGTGTTGGGCCTGCAGGTACACAGAAGACAAGAGTTGAGCTTTGGAAACCTCCACCTAGATTTCAGAGGATGTATGGAAACACCTGTATGTCCAGGAAGAAGTCTGCTGCAGGGGTCAAGCCCTTATAGAAAACCTCTACTAGGGCAATGCAGAGAGAAAATGTGGGGTGGAGCCCCCACACAGAGTCCCTGCTCTTTTCCAGAGTCCCCTGGAAAAGCCACAGTCAGTCAACACCCACCAGCCTGTGAAAGCAGCTTCAGGGGCTGTACCTTACAGAGCCACAGGTGCAAAGCTCCCCAAGGTCAAGGGAGCCCACCTCTTAAACCAGTGCAATCTGGATGTGACACACAGAGTCAAAGCAGATTTTGAAGATTTAATATTTAATGACTGCCCCACTGGGTTTCAAACTTGCATGGGGCCTGTGGCCCCTTTGTTTTGGCCAATTTCTCCCATTTGGAATGGGAACACTTACCCAATGCCCACACTCCCATTGTATCTTGGAAGTAACTGACTTGCATGTGATTTTACAGGCTTATAGGCAGAGGGACTTGCCTTGTCTTAGATGAGACTTTGGACTTGGACTTTTGGGGTAATGCTGGAATGAGTTAAGACGTGGGGGACTGTTGGGAAGGCATAATTGGTTTTGAAACATAAAAATGATGTGAGATTTGGGAGGGACCACCAGTGAATGATATGCTTTGGCTCTGTGTCCCCACCCAAATCTCATCTCCAATTGTAATCCCCATAATCCCCACGTGTCAAGGGAGGGACCTAGTTCAATGTGATTGGATCATGGGGGCAGTTTTCCCCATGATGTTCTCATGATAGTGAGTGAGTTCTCATGAGATCTGATGGCTTAAAATTGGCACTTTTCCCCCTGCACTCGAGCTCTCTCTCTCTCCTGCCACCTTGTGAAGAAGGTACTTGCTTCTCCTTTGCCTTCCACTGTGATTGTAAGTTTTCTGAGGCCTCTTCAGCCATGTAAAACTGTGAGTCAATTAAACCTTTTTTTCTTTTTAAATTACCCAGTCTCAGGCAGTATCCTTATAGCAGTGTGAAAATGAACTAATACAAAAACCCTTTCACTCCAACACGAATTTACATTTAGAGTTGTAAGGTTCAATGAAATAACATAGTTGATACAATAGGGAAGCACGTTTTCTCTAACGTTGTCAAATACTACGAATAAATATTCCAGTTGAGAATTTCAGATACATCTTACTAAAGCATTTATGTTCCTTTGTTATCCAATAGGTATTAGGCAATCATGTCAAAGCCATGTATTTCACTATTTTATATACAAACATACCTTGGAAATATTGTGGGCTTGGTAACGGACTACAACCATAAAGTGAATATACAATGGAACAAGTCACACAAATTTTTTGGTTTCCCACTGAATATAAAAGCTACATTTACACTACAGTTTATTAAGTGTGCAATAGTGTTGTGTCTAAAATAAGTACATATCTTCAAGAATACTTTATTGAAAAAAAATTGTTAACGACCATCTGAGGGTATGTGATGCTTTTTAGTAGCATTTTACCCACACTAGATCTTCTTTCAAAATTGAAGTCACTCCTCTCAAATATTGCTGCCATTTTATCAACTAAGTTTATGTAATATTCTAGATCCTTTGTTGTCATTTCAACAATACTCATAGCATCTTCATCAGAAACAGATTCCATCTCAAGAAACCTTGTTCTGGAAGAGGAGGTAGAGCAAAATAGCTGAATAGAAGCCTCTAGTAATAATCTTCTGCACAGGAACACCAAAATGAACATTTATCTACACACAAAAAAGCACATTCATCACAATCAAAAATCAGATTAGAGATCACAATACCTGGTTTTAACATATTAAAGAAATAGACACTAAAGAGGGTACAAAGGACAGTCTTGAATCACCTATACAACCACTCCCCCATCCTTCTGCAGCAGTCTTGTGGCACAAAGAGAGAATCTATGCACTTAGAGGAGAGAGAATGCAGTGGTTGTGGAACTTTGCATTGGAACTCAGTGCTGCCCTGTCACAGTAGAAAGCAACACAGGCAGAACTCAGCTGGTTCCCATGGAGAGAACATTTAGGTCATCCCTAGTCAGAGGCAAATTGTCCATTCCAGCCATCAGACCTGAGTTCCTGCAAGCCACACGACCATGAGATAAAGGCTCCAGGGTCCTAAATAAACATGAAAGGCTGTCTAGGCCACAAAAACTGCAACTTCTGGGGAAGTCCTGATCTGTGCTGGGCTCAGAGCCCATGGACATGGGGGAAATATGACCTAGTGAGACATCAGCTGGGGTTGCCAAGGGAGTGCTTGCATCACCCCTTCCCCAACCTCAAACAGCACAGCTTGCAGCTCTGGGAGGGACTCCTTTCCTCTGTTTCAGAAGAAGAGAAGGGACAGTAAAAAATGACTTTGTCTTCCAACTTGGATATCAGCTCAGCCACAGTAAAATAAGGCAAAAGGCAGAATCCTGACAACCCCATCCTGGGCCCTAGCTCCAAGAGAACATTTTTAATTTATTTTTTAAGTTCTGGGGTATATGTGCAGAATGTGCAGGTTTGTTACATAGGTAAACATGTGCCATGGTGGTTTGCTGCTCCTATCAACCCATCACCTAGGTATTAAGCCCAGCATGCATTAGCTGTTTTTCCTGATGCTCTGCCTCCCCACAACAGGCCCCACTGTGTATTGTTCCCCTCCCTGTGTCCATGTGTTCTCACTGTTCAGCTACCACTTATAAGTGAGTACAAGCAGTGTTTGGTTTTTGGTTCCTGCATTAGCTCCTGCATTAGTCTGCTGAGGATAATGGCTTCCAGCTTCATTCATGTTCCTTCAAAAAACCTAATGTCATTTCTTTTTATGGCTGAATAGTATTCCATGATTCATATGTACCACATTTCTTTTATCCAGTCTATCATTGATGGGCATTTTGGTTGATTCCATGTCTTTGCTATTGTGAATAGTGTTACAATGAGCATACAAGTGCATGTATCTTTATAACAGAATGATTTATATTCCTTTGGGTATATACCCAGTAATGGGATTGCTGGGTCAAATGATATTTCTGTCTCTAGGTCTTTGAGGAATTGCCACACTGTCTTCTACAATGGTTGAACTAATTTACATTCCCACCAACAGTGTAAAAGCATTCCTATTTCTCCACAGCCTCGCTAGCATCTATTGCTTCTTGACTTTTTAATAGTCGCCATTCAAACTGGCATAAGGTAGTATCTCATTATGGTTTTGATCTACATTTCTCTAACAATTAGTGATGTTGAGCTTTTCATATGTTTGTTGTCCACTTGTATGTCTTCTTTTCAGAAGGGTCTGCTCATTTCCTATGCCCACTTTTTAATGGGGTTGATTTTCTCTTGTAAATTTAAGTTCCTTGTAGACTCTGGATATTAGACCTCTGTCAGATGGATAGATTGCAAAAATTTTCTCCCATTCTGTGGGTTGTCTGTTCACTATGATGATAGCTTTGTTTTCTGTGCAGAAGCTCTTAAGTTTAATTAGATCTCATCTGCCAATTTTTGCTTTTCTTGCAATTGCATTTGGCATTTTCATCATGAAATCTTTGATTGTGCCTACATCCTAAATGGTATTGCCTAGATTTTCTTCTAGGATTTTTATAGTTTTTGCTTTTACCTTTAAGCCTTTAATCCATCTTGAATTAATTTTTGTATAAGGTGTAAGGAAGGGGTCCAGTTTTAATTTTCTGCCTATGGCTAGCCAGTTCTCTCAGTACCATTTATGAAATGGGGAATTATTTCCCCACTGCTTGTTTTTGTCAGGCTCATCAAAGAGCAGATTATTGTAGATGTGTGGCCTTATTTCTGAGTTCTGTATTCTGTTCCATTTGTCTATGTGTCTGTATGTGTACCAGTACCATGCTGCTTTGGTTATGTAACCTTGTAGTATAGTTTCAAGTCAGGTAGCATGATGCCTCTAGCTTTGTTCTTTTTGCTATTGATTCTCTTAGCAATATGGGTAATTTTTTGGTTTCATATGCATTTTAAAATAGATTTTTTTCTAATTCTGTGAAGAATGTCAATGGTAGTTTAACAGGAATTGCACTGAATCTATAAATTACTTTGGGCAGTATGGCCATTTTTATTATATTGATTCTTCCTATCCATAAGCATGGAAACTTTTTCCATTTGTTTGTGTTTTCTCTGATTTCCTTGAGCAGGGTTTGTAGTTCTCCTTGAAGAGGTCCTTCACTTCCCTTGTTAGCTGTATTCCTAGGTATTTTATTCTTTTCCTAGCAATTGTGAATGGGAGGTCATTCATAATTTGCCTCTCTGCTTGTCTGTTTTTGGGGTATAGGAATGCTTGTGACTTTTGCACATTGATTTTGTACCCTGAGACTTTGCTAATGTTGCTTATCAGGTTAAGAAGATTTGGGGTTGAGATGATGGAGTTTTCTAGATATAGGATTATATCTATACAGAGACAATTTAACTTTCTCTCTTCCTATTTGAGTACCATTTATTTCTTTCTCTTGTCTGATTGCCCTGGCCAGAACTTCCAATACTATGTTGAATAGGAGTGGTGAGAGAGAGCATTCTTGTCTTGTGCCAGTTTTCAAGTGGAATGCTTCCACCTTTTTCCCATTCTGTATGATATTTGTTCTGGGTTTGTAATAAATGGCTCTTATTATTTTGAGGTATGTTCTTTTAATACCTAGTTTATTGAGAGTTTTTAACATAAAGGATGTTGAACTTTATCTCTGGCCTTTTCTGCATCTATTAAAATAATCATGTGGTTTTTGCCTTTATTTCTGTTTGTGTGATAAATTATGTTTATTAATTTGGATATGTTGAACTAGCTTTGCATTCCAGGGATGAAGCCAACTTGGTGGTCATGGTGGATAAGCTTTTTGATGTACTGCTAGATTCAGTTTGCCAGTATTTTATTGAGGATTTTTGGATTGATGTTAATCACGGATACTGGCCTAAAGTTTTCCTTTTTTGTTGTATTTCTGCCAGGTTTTTGGTATCAGGATGATGCTGGCCTCATAAAATGAGTTAGGGAGGAATCCCTCCTTTTGAGTTGTTAGGAATAGCTTCAGAAGAAATGGTACCACCTCCTCTTTGTAGTCCCAGAGGACAGTTTTAAACACAGTCAGAAGGAAACCTGCTATATTGAATGGAAAGACTGAGTTCTGGAAGAATTCATCAACTGCCGATGAATTTAGCACCTGCCTTTGTCCCTGAACAATCAGCAAAGGTAGCCAGGCAGTACACACTGTGGGCCCTGAGTGAGACTGAGAGTTCTGCTGGCTTCAGGTATGATCCAGCACATTATCAACTGTGGTGGCTATAAGGAAAGACCCCTTATGCTTGAGGAAAGAAGAGAGAACAGTAAAGGGGACTCGGTCTTGCATCTTAGATACCAGCTTGGCCATAGTAGAGTAGAGGACCAAGCAAGCTCCTGGGGTTTCCAATTCTAGGCCTTGACTCTTGGGTGGCATTTTTGTACAGTCCCTAAGCCAAAGGGGAGCCAAGTCCCCTGATGTAAGAGACTCAGGGTTTGTGTCATTCACCAAAAGATGACTGCAGAGCCCTTGGTCATTGAGCAAACATTGGTGGTAGCCAGGCAATAGTTGCTGTGAACCTGGGGTGGTGGTGGCCACGGGAAGAGACTCCTCTGCTTGAGGAAAAGGGAGGCAAGAGTGGGAAGGACTTTGTCTCATGGCTTGGGGGCCAGCTCACAAGCCTGGGTAGATTGCCTGCCTACTGATTGTAGAGCCCTTGGGCCTTGAGTGAACATAGGTAGTAGCCAGGCAATGGTCACTGGAGTTCTTGGGCAAAACCCAGTGGTACGCTGGCTTCAGATTTGACCCAGCATAGTCCAAGTAGTGGTGGCCACAGGTTTGCTTATGTCACCTCTCCCCCAGATCCAGGCATTTCAGAACAGAGTAAGAGGCTCCATTTGTTTGAGGGAAAGTAAGGGAAGAAAACAAGAGTCTCTACCTGGTAATCCAGGGAGTTCTCCTGGATCTTACCCTTGGTACTCTAAAAGTCTGCAAGAGCAACAGGGTTAAGCAAATATGGCTGCAATGACCAAGATTTAGATCTCAATACCCAAGTCCCTCCAAATACCTGGAATGTCCTCGAAAAGGATAGGTAAGAACAAGTCCAGACTGAGAATACTACAATAAATACCTAATTCTTTAATGCTCAGACACTGCCAAACATCCATAAGCATCAAGACAATACAGGAAAGCACAATCTCACCCAATGAATTAAATAATATACCAATGTCCAATCTCAAAGAGACAGAGATATATTACCTTTCAGATAAAGAATTCAAAATAGCTCTTTGGGGGAAGCTCAATAAAATACAAGATAACACAGGGGATGAATTCAGAATACTATCAGATAAATTTCACAAAGAAATAAAAATAATGAAAAAGAATGAAGCAGAAATTCTGAATTTGAAAAATGCACTGATATACTGAAGAATGCATCAGAGTCTCTTAACATCAGAACTAATCAAGCAGAAAAAGAATTAGTGAGCTTGTAGACAGGCTATTTGAAAATACATAGCTAGGGGAGACAAAAAGAAAAAAGAATAAAAAAGAATGAAGCTCACCTACAAGATTTAGAAAATAGCCTCAAAAGGGCAAATCCAAGAGCTACTGGTCTTGAAGAGGAGGTAGAGAGAAAGTTCAGGGTAGAAAGATTATTTAAATAGATAATAACAGAAAACTTCTCAAATCTAGAGACAGATATCAATATTCAAGTAGAAGGTTATAGAACACCAAGCACATTCAACCCAAAGAAGACTACCTCAAGACACTTAAACATCAAACTCCCAAAGGTCGAGGATAAAAAATGATACTAAAAGCAAGAGAAAAACAAACAAATAACACACAAAGGAGTTCCAATATGTTAGGCAGCAGATTGCTCAGTGAAAACCTTACAGGCCAGGAGAGCATGACATGACATATTTAATGCACTGAAGGAAAAGAAAATTTATCCTAGAATAGTATATCCAGTGAACATATTCTTCAAACATAAAGGAGAAATAAAGACTTTCCCAATCATACAAAACTGAGGGATTTTATCAACACTGGACCTGTCCTACAAGAAATGCTAAAGGAAGTTCTTCAATCTGCAAGAAAAGGGATATTAATGAGCAATAAGAAATCATGTGAAGGTATAAAATTCACTGGTAATGGTACGTATGCAGAATTTTATAACCCAATAACTGTGCTGTGTAAACTACTCATATCTTAAGTAGAAAGACTAAAATATGAACATATCTAAAATACTACAGTAACTTTTCAAGACATAGACCATATAATAGGATATAAATAGAAGTGACAAAAAGTTAAAAAGTGGAGGGAAAAAGCTAAACTTAGAGTTGTATTAGTTTTATTATTGCTTGTTTGCTTATGCAAATAGTGTTAAGTTGTTATTGGTTTAAAATGAAGGAATATGTTATTTGCAAGCCTCAGGGTAAACTCAAATTAAAAAAAACACACAACAGATACACAAAACATAAAAATCAAGAATTTAAAGCATGCCATCTGAGAAATTCACCTTCACTAAGAGGAAGACAGGAAGGAAAGAAAGAAGAAGGAGAAGACCAAGAAATAACCAAAATAATTTAAAAAAATAACAACGTGGCAAGTATGTTAGATAATTTTCATACTGCTATGAAGAAATATCCAAGACTGGGTAATTTATAAGGAAAAAGAGGTTTAATGGACTCACACTTCCACATGGCTGGGGAGGCCTCACTATCATGGCAGAAGGTGAAGGAAGAACAAAGGCAAGTCTTACATGGCAGCAGGGAAGAGACCGTGTGCAGGGGAACTGCATTTTATAAAACCAATAGATCTCATAAGATTTATTCACTATCATGAGAATATCACAGAAAACCCACCCCCATGATTCAGTTACCTCCCACTAGGTCTCTCCCATGACATATGGGGATTATGGGAGCTACTATTTAAAATGAGATTTCGGTGGGGACACAGCCAAACCATATCAGCAAGTACAAGTCTTTACTTATTTATAATAACATTGAATGAAAATTGACCAAACTTTTCAATCAAAAGACAGAGTGGCAGAATGGATTAAAAAAAAAATACAAGACCTAATGATCTGTTCTTATAAGAAACATACTACACCTATAAAGAGACACATAAAATGAAAATAAAAGAACGGAAAGAGATATTTTATGACAATGGAAAACAAAAAAGAGCCAGAGAAGCTATACTTATTTCAGACAAGATAGATTTCAAGACAAAGGCTATACAGAGGCAAAGAAAGTCATTATACAATGATAAGGGGGTCAATTCACCAAGAGGACATAACAATTTTAAATATACATACTCCCAACACTGGAGCCTCAGATATATAAAGCAAATATGAGAGCTAATACAATAATAGCTGGAAAATTCAATACTCCATTGTCAGCATTGGACAGATCATCCAGAAAGAGAACCGACAAAGAAACATCAGACATATCAGCACTGTAGACCAAACGGACCTAATCAATATTTACAGAACATTTCATCTAATGGCTATAGAATAAACATTCTTCTCCTCAGCACATGCATTATTCTCAAGGATAGACCATATGTTAGGCAACAAAACAAGTCTTAAAAAATGAAATTATATCAAGTATCTTCTCTGACAAGAAAGGAATAAAACCGGTAATTGATAACAAGACGAAATATGGAAACTATACAAACACAAGGAAATTAAACAATATGCTCCTGAATGACCAGTGGGTCAATGAAGAAATTACAAAGAAAATGTTTAAAATGTCTTGAAATAAATGAAAAAATGGAAAAAAAACATATTAAATCCTATGAGATGCACTGAAAGCAGTTCCAAGAGGAAAGTTTATAGCAATAAGCACCTACATCAAAACAATAGAAAAACTTCGAATAAACAACCTAATGATGCATATTAAAGAACTACAAAAGGAAGAGCAAACCAAATGCAAAACTTGTAGAAGAAAGACTATAATAAAGATAAAAGCTGAAATAAATAATATTAAAACTAAAAAATACAAGAGATCAACAAAATGAAAAGTTGGGTTTTGTTTTGTTTTGTTTTGTTTTGTTTTGTTTTTGGGAGACCAGAGCTTTACTATTACTCAAATCAGTCTCCAGATAATTTGTGGATCACAGTTTTTAAGGACAACTTGGTGGGTGGGGGGAAGCCACTGAGCTCGATTTAAAAGTAAATCATGATAGGACTGATTTGTCTGCAAAACAAACTTTAGTATTACTATATTTTGTCTGATTATTTGCATAAAGCCCAATAAGAATAATTATTTTTTACATAGGCTTTCCAAATTGGCTTTGATGAAACTCTGTTCCATAAGGAATCTCTAAGACTTTTTTTAAAGCTGAGTCCAGCCATAGGTTTGTACCCTCAAATACCTATGAGTTGGGTAAATTCCTCTCTTCTTCAGGTCCCAAGATAATTTGGGGCTCCTGGGCCTGTTAGAAAGTGACATTCTTTACTTACCACAGGTCAGGAACCTTGTACAGGGAATGGTATGAGACCAGTTTTCCCAAGGGTCTTTTATTGGCTGTATAAGTCAAGTTTGATTCATTAAAGAAAGCACACCATTCCAGTCAAAGCCTTGGTTAAATAACCAGTTCCTCCAATTGTGTCCTATTGCAAAAGAAAACATTTTATAGCACTTGTACAAATAACTATATTGCCATAAGTTAAGAATACTCACAAATAGTTTCCAAGTTCTAGAGAAAGCAGGTCAAAGGAAAACAATATGCTTCAAATTTTATTCATAGCAGTATACTTTACTCAATTGTTAAAAGCTGCCAATAGCTCAAAAAAGATTTCTTGGCTCTGATAAACAAAAAAGGATCAGCAAACTTTTAAGGGAAAAGTCAGAAAAGATTATTTCAGTCTTCTATTTGAAAATGTTTCTCTATTCTAATGTCACAATCTCCAGAATTATCAATCAGAAACCTGCATTTAAGAGTACCTGTTAGAGAGGAGCCAAGATGGCTGAATAGGAACAGCTCAGGTCTACAGCTCCCAGTGTGAGCCACGCAGAAGACGGGTGATTTCTGCATTTCCATCTGAGGTACCGGGTTCATCTCACTAGGGAGTGCCAGACAGTGGGCGCAGGTCAGTGGGTGCGCGCACCGTGCACGAGCCGAAGCAGGGCGAGGCATTGCCTCACTTGGGAAGCCCAAGGGGTCAGGGAGTTCCCTTTCCTAGTCAAACAAAGGGGTGACAGACGGCACCTGGAAAATCAGGTCACTCCCACCCGAATACTGCGCTTTTCCGACGGGCTTAAAAAACGGCGCACCACAAGATTATATCCGGCACCTGGCTCGGAGGGTCCTACGCCCAGGGAGTCTCACTGATTGCTAGCACAGCAGTCTGAGATCAAATTGCAAGGCGGCAGCGAGGCTGGCGGAGGGGCGCCCGCCATTGCCCAGACTTGATTAGGTAAACAAAGTAGCCGGGAAGCTCGAACTGGGTGGAGCCCACCACAGCTCAAGGAGGCCTGCCTGCCTCTGCAGGCTCCACCTCTGCGGGCAGGGCACAGACAAACAAAAAGACAACAGTAACCTCTGCAGACTTAAATGTCCCTGTCTGACAGCTTTGAAGAGAGCAGTGGTTCTCCCAGCACACAGCTGGAGATCTGAGAACAGGCAGACTGCCTCCTCAAGGGGGTCCCTGACCCTTGACCCCCGAGCAGCCTAACTGGGAGGCACCCCCCAGCAGGGGCAGACTGACACCTCACACGGCCTGGTACTCCAACAGACCTGCATGTCTGTTAGAAGGAAAACTAACAAACAGGACATCCACACAAAAATCCCATCTGTACATCACCATCCTCAAAGACCAAAAGTAGATAAAACCACAAAGTTGGGGAAAAAACAGAGCAGAAAAACTGGAAACTCTAAAAAGCAGAGCGCCTCTCCTCCTCCAAAGGAACGCAGTTCCTCACCAGCAACGGAACAAAGCTGGACGGAGAATGACGTTGAGGAGCTGAGAGAAGAAGGCTTCAGATGATCAAATTACTCCGAGCTACGGGAGAACATTCAAACCAAAGGCAAAGAAGTTGAAAACTTTGAAAAAAATTTAGACGAATGTATAACTAGACTAACCGATACAGAGAAGTGCTTAAAGGAGCTGATGGAGCTGAAAACCAAGGCTCGAGAACTACGTGAAGAATGCAGAAGCCTCAGGAGCTGATGCGATCAACTGGAAGAAAGGGTATCAGCGATGGAAGATGAAATGAATGAAATGAAGCGAGAAGGGAAGTTTAGAGAAAAAAGAATAAAAAGAAACGAGCAAAGCCTCCAAGAAATATGGGACTATGTGAAAAGACCAAATCTACGTCTGATTGGTGTACCTGAAAGTGATGGGGAGAATGGAACCAAGTTGGAAAACACTCTGCAGGATATTATGCAGGAGAACTTCCCCAATCTAGCAAGGCAGGCCAACATTCAGATTCAGGAAATACAGAGAACGCCACAAAGATATTCCTCGAGAAGAGCAACTCCAAGACACATAATTGTCAGATTCACCAAAGTTGAAATGAAGGAAAAAATGTTAAGGACAGCCAGAGAGAAAGGTGAAGTTACCCACAAAGGGAAGCCCATCAGACTAACAGCTGATCTCTCAGCAGAAACTCTACCAGCCAGAAGAGAGTGGGGGCCAATATTCAACATTCTTAAAGAAAAGAATTTTCAACCCAGAATTTCATATCCAGCCAAACTAAGCTTCATAAGTGAAGGACAAATAAAATACTTCACAGACAAGCAAATGCTGAGAGATTTTGTCACCACCAGGCCTGCCCTAAAAGAGCTCCTGAAGGAAGTGCTAAACATGGAAAGGAACAACCGGTACCAGCCGCTGCAAAATCATGCCAAAACGTAATGATCGAGACTAGGAAGAAACTGCATCAACTAACGAGCAAAATAACCAGCTAACATCATAATGACAGGATCAAATTCACACATAACAATATTAACTTTAAATGTAAATGGACTAAATGCTCCAATTAAAAGACACAGACTGGCAAATTGGATAAAGAGTCAAGATCCATCAGTGTGCTGTATTCAGGAAAACCATCTCACGTGCAGAGACACACATAGGCTCAAAATAAAAGGATGGAGGAAGATCTACCAAGCAAATGGAAAACAAAAAAAGGCAGGGGTTGCAATCCTAGTCTCTGATAAAACAGACTTTAAACCAACAAAGATCAAAAGAGACAAAGAAGGCCATTACATAATGGTAAAGGGATCAATTCAACAAGAAGAGCTAACTATCCTAAATATATATGCACCCAATACAGGAGCACCCAGATTCATAAAGCAAGTCCTGAGTGACCTACAAAGAGACTTAGCCTCCCACACATTAATAATGGGAGACTTTCACACCCCGCTGTCAACATTAGACAGATCAACGAGACAGAAAGTTAACAAGGATACCCAGGAATTGAACTCAGCTCTGCACCAAGTGGACCTAATAGACATCTACAGAACTCTCCACCCAAAATCAACAGAATATACATTTTTTTCAGTACCACACCACACCTATTCCAAAATTGACCGCATACTTGGAAGTAAAGCTCTCCTCAGCAAATGTAAAAGAACAGAAATTATAACAAACTGTCTCTCAGACCACAGTGTAATCAAACTAGAACTCAGGATTAAGAATCTCACTCAAAACCACTCAACTACATGGAAACTGAACAACCTGCTCCTGAATGATTACTGGGTACATAACGAAATGAAGGCAGAAATAAAGATGTTCTTTGAAACCAACGAGAACAAAGACACAACATACCAGAATCTCTGGGACACATCCAAAGCAGTGTGTGGAGGGAAATTTATAGCACTAAATGCCCACAAGAGAAAGCAGGAAAGATCCAAAATTGACCCCCTAACATCACAATTAAAAGAACTAGAAAAGCAAGGGCAAACATATTCAAAAGCTAGCAGAAGGCAAGAAATAACTAAAATCAGAGCAGAACTGAAGGAAATAGAGACACAAAAAACCCTTCAAAAAATTAATGAATCCAGGAGCTGGTTTTTTGAAAGGATCTACAAAATTGACAGACTGTTAGCCAGACTAATAAAGAAAAAAAGAGAGAAGAATCAAACAGATGCAATAAAAAATGATAAAGGGGATATCACCACCGATCCCACAGAAATACAAACTACCATCAGAGAATACTACAAATACCTCTACGCAAATAAACTAGAAAATCTAGAAGAAATGGATAAATTCCTTGACACATACACCCTCCCAAGACTAAACCAGGAAGAAGGTGAATCTCTGAATAGACCAATAACAGGATCTGAAATTGTGGCAATAATCAATAGCTTACCAACCAAAAAGAGTCCAGGACCAGATGGATTCACAGCCGAATTCTACCAGAGGTACAAGGAGGAACTGGTACCATTCCTTCTGAAATTATTCCAATCAATAGAAAAAGAGGGAATCTGTCCTAACTCATTTTATGAGGCCAGCATCATCCTGATACTAAAGCCGGGCAGAGACACAACCAAAAAAGACAATTTTAGACCAATATCCTTGATGAACATTGATGCAAAAATCCTCAATAAAATACTGGCAAACCGAATCCAGCAGCACATCAAAAACTTATCCACCATGATCAAGTGGGCTTCATCCCTGGGATGCAGGGCTGATTCAATATACGCAAATCAATAAATGTAATCCAGCATATAAACAGAACCAAAGACAAAAACCACATGATTATCTCAATAGATGCAGAAAAGGCCTTTGACAAAATTCAACAACCCTTCATGCTAAAAACTCTCAATAAATTAGGTATTGATGGGATGTATTTCAAAATAATAAGAGCTATCTATGACAGACCCACAGCCAATATCATACTGAATGGGCAAAAACTGGAAGCATTCCCTTTGAAAACTGGCACAAGACAGGGATGCCCTCTCTCACCACTCCTATTCAACATAGTGTTGGAAGTTCTGGCCAGGGCAATTAGGCAGCAGAAGGAAATAAAGGGTATTCAATTAGGAAAAGAGGAAGTCAAATTGTCCCTGTTTGCAGATGACACGATTGTATATCTAGAAAACCCCATTGTCTCAGCCCAAAATCTCCTTAAGCTGATAAGCAACTTCAGCAAAGTCTCAGGATACAAAATCAATGTACAAAAATCACAAGCATTCTAATACACCAACAACAGACAAACAGAGAGCCAAATCATGAGTGAACTCCCATTCACAATTGCTTCAAAGAGAATAAAATACCTAGGAATCCAACTTACAAGGGATGTGAAGGACCTCTTCAAGGAGAACTACAAACCACTGCTCAAGGAAATAAGAGGATACAAACAAATGGAAGAATATCCCATGCTCATGGGTAGGAAGAATCAATATCATGAAAATGGCCATACTGCCCAAGGTAATTTACAGATTCAATGCCATCACCATCAAGCTACCAATGACTTTCTTCACAGAATTGGAAAAAACTACTTTAAAGTTCATATGGAACCAAAAAAGAGCCTGCATCGCCAAGTCAATCCTAAGCCAAAAGAACAAAGCTGGAGGCATCACGCTACCTGACTTCAAACTATACTACAAGGCTACAGTAACCAAAACAGCGTGGTGCTGGTACCAAAGCAGATACAGACCAATGTAACAGAACAGAGCCCTCAGAAATAATGCCACATATCTACAACTATCAGATCTTTGACAAACCTGACAAAAACCAGAAGTGGGGAAAGGATTCCCTATTTAGTAAATGGTGCTGAGAAAACTGGCTAGCCATATGGAGAAAGCTGAAACTGGATCCCTTCCTTACACATTATACAAAAATTAATTCAAGATGGATTAAAGACTTACAGGTTAGACCTAAAACCGTAAAAACCCTAGAAGAAAACCTAGGCAATACCATTCAGGACATAGGCATGGGCAAGGACTTCATGTCCAAAACACCAAAAGCAATGGCAACAAAAGCCAAAATTGACAAATGGGATCTAATTAAACTAAAGAGCTTCTGCACAGCAAAAGAAACTACCATCAGAGTGAACAGGCAACCTACAAAATGGGAGAAAATTTTCACAACCTACTCATCTGACAAAGGGCTAATATCCAGAATCTACAATGGACTCAAACAAATTTACAAGAAAAAAGCAAACAACCCCATCAAAAAGTGGGCGAAGGACATGAACAGACACTTCTCAAAAGAAGACATTTATGCAGCCAAAAAACACATGAAAAAATGCTCACCATCACTGGTCATCAGAGAAATGCAAATCAAAACCACAATGAGATACCATCTCACACCAGTTAGAATGGCAATCATTAAAAAGTCAGGAAACAACAGGTGCTGGAGAGGATGTGGAGAAATAGGAACACTTTTACACTGTTGGTGGAACTGTAAACTAGTTCAACCATTGTGGAAGTAAGTGTAGTGATTCCTCAGGGATCTAGAACTAGAAATACCATTTGACCCAGCCATCCCTTTACTGGGTATATACCCAAAGGACTATAAATCATGCTGCTATAAAGACACAGGCACACGTATGTTTATTGCGGCATTATTCACAATAGCAAAGACTTGGAACCAACCCAAATGTCCAATAATGATAGACTGGATTAAGAAAATGTGGCACATATACACCATGGAATACTATGCAGCCATAAAAAATGATGAGTTCATGTCCTTTGTAGGGACATGGATGAAATTGGAAATCATCACTCTCAGTAAACTATCGCAAGAACAAAAAACCAAACACCGCATATTCTCACTCATACGTGGGAACTGAACAATGAGAACACATGGACCCAGGAAGGGGAACATCACACTCTGGGGACTGTGGTGGGGTGGGGGGAGGGGGGAGGGATGGCATTGGGAGATATACCTAATGCGAGATGACGAGTCAGTGGGTGCAGCGCACCAGCATGGCACATGTATACATACGTAACTTACCTGCACATTGTGCACATGTACTCTAAAACTTAAAGTATAATAATAATAAATTTAAAAAAAAAGAGTACCTGTTAGAGTGTTAGAGTTTCATAGCTGATAATAAAATCATCATTAAAAGAGGATCAAAACAAGACGACAATTGTCTATGGATGAAAAGAAGCCTTAGGGCAATCACAGATAAAGACACAATTGACAAGGAAATTAATTACCTCTGTAGCACACAATAATTTAACATATCAATTACAATTATTACTGTTAACATACACTAAGTCATATTAGAATTATAGGAGATTCCCATAATTTTGTAACATATACCAGTAATACATTTACACAAATATAATCCAAAGAAAGCCAAACACCATTTCATATTTGGCAATGCATTCTGTAAAATTTTTATACTAAATAAGCCAAATGTCATTTTTGGACTTTAGAGGACCTACTATCTAAAAGATTGAGTAATAAAAAAAATTATTTATTTTTATTTTACTTTAAGTGTTGGGATACATGTGCAGAATGTGCAGGTTTGTTACAGAGGTATACATATGCCATGGTTGTTTGCTACACCCATCAATCTGTCATCTAGGTTTTAAGCCCTGCATGCATTAGGTATTTGTCCTATTCCTCTCTGTCCCTTTGCCCCCCACCCCATGACAGGCCCTGGTGTGTAATGTCCCCCTCCCTATGTCCATGCGTTTTCATTGTTCAACTCCCACTTTTGAGAACATGCGGTGTTTGGTTTTCTGCTCTTGTGATAGTTAGCTAAGAATGATGGCTTCCAGCTTCATCCATGTCCCCGGAAGGACATGAACTCATTCTTTTTTGTGGCTGTATAATATTTCATGGTGTATATGTGCCACATTTTCTTTATCCAGTCTGCCACTGATGGGCATTTGGGTTGGTTCCAAGTCATTGCTATTGTAAATAGTGCTGCAATAAACATACATGTGCGTGTGTCTTTATAGTAGAATGATTTATAATCCTATGGGTATATACCCAGTAACAGAACTGATGGATCAAATGGTATTTCTGGTTCTAGATCCTTGAGGAATCACCATACTGTCTTCCACAATAGTTGAACTAATTACACTCCCACCAACAATGTAAAAGCATTCCTATTTCTCCACATCCTCTCCAGCATCTGTTGTTTCTTGACATTTAATAATCACCATTCTAACTGGCATGAGATGGTACCTCATTGTGGTTTTGATTTGCGTTTCTCTAATGACCAGCGATGATGAGCTTTTTTCCATATTTTGTTGCCCACATAAATGTCTTCTTTTCGGAAGTGTCTGTTCATATCCTTTGCCCACTTTTTGATGGGGTTGTTTTTTTCTTGTAAATTTGTTTAAGTTCCTTGTAGATTCTGGATATTAGACCTTTGTCAGATGGATGGATTGCAAAAATTTTCTCCCATTCTGTGGGTTGTCTGTTCACTCTGATGATAGTTTCTTTCGCTGTGCAGAAGCTCTTTAGCTTAATTAGATCCCATTTGTCAATTTTAGCTTCTGTTGCAGTTGCTTTTTGTGTTTTATTCATGAAATCTTATGACTATGAGATCGTGCCTATATCCTGAATGGTATTGCCTAGGTTTTCTTCTAGGGTTTTTTATGGTTTTGGGTTTCACATTTAAGTCTTTAATCCAACATGAATTAATTTTTGTATAAGGTGTAAGGAGGGAGTTCAGTTTCTGTTTTCTGCGTATGGCTAGCCAGTTCCCCCAGCATGATTTATTAAATATGGAATAATTTCCTCATTGCTTGTTTTTGTCATTTTTGTTGAAGATCTTGTGGTTGTAGATGTATGGTGTTATTTCTGAGGTCTCTGTTCTGTTCCATTGGTCTATATATCTGTTTTGGTATCAGTACCCTGCTGTTTTGGTTACTGTAGACTTGTAGTATAGTTTGAAGTCAGGTAGTATGATGCCTCCAGTTTTGTTCTTTTTGCTTAACATTGTCTTGGTTATATGGGCTCTTTTTTGGTACCATATGAAATTTAAAGTAGTTTTTTCTAATTCTGTGAAGAAAGTCAATGGTAACTTTATGGGAATAGCATTGAATCTGTAAATTACTTTGGGCAGTATGGCTATTTTCACAATATTGATTCTTTCTATCAATGAGCATGAAATTTTTTCCCATTGATTTGTGTCCTCTCTCATTTCTTTGAGCAGTGATTTGTAGTTCTCCTTGAAGAGGTCCTTCACATCCCTTATAAGTTGTATTCCTTGGTATTTTATTCTCTTTATACTAATTGTAAATGGGAGTTCACTCATGATTTGGCTCTCTGTCTATTATTGGTGTATAGGAATACTTGTGATTTTTACACATTGATTTTGCATCCTGAAACTTTGCTAATGTTGCTTATCAGGTTAAGAAGCTTTTGGGCTGAGATGATGGGGTTTTCTAGATATGGAATTATGTCAGCTGCAAACAGAGATAATTTAACTTTCTCTCTTTCTATTTGAATACCATTTATTTCTTTCTCTTGTCTGATTGCCCTGGCTAGAACTTTCAATATTATGTTGAATAGGAGTGCTGAGAGAGAGCATTCTTGTCTTGTGCCAGTTTTCAAGGGGAATGCTTCCAGCTTTTTCCCATTCTGTATGATATTTGTTCTGGGTTTGTAATAAATGGCTCTTATTTTGAGGTATGTTCCTTCAATACCTAGTTTATTGAGGGTTTTTTTTTTCTTTTTTTTCTTTTTTTTTTTTCGAGACAGAGTCTCGCTCAGTCGCCCAGGCTGGAGCGCAATGGCTCGATCTCCGCTCACTGCAAGCTCCGCTTCCTGGGTTCACGCCATTATCCTGCCTCAGCCTCCTGAGTAGCTGGGACTACAGGCACCCACCACCACGCCCAGCTAATTTTTTTGTATTTTTTTAGTAGAGATGGCGTTTCACCGTGTTAGCCAGGATGGTCGCCATCTCCTGACCTCGTGATCTGCCCTCCTCAGCCTCCCAAAGTGCTGGGATTACAGGCTGAGCCACCACGCCCGGCCGAGGGTTTTTAACATAAAGGATGTTGAATTTTATCTCACGCCTTTTCTGCATCTATTAAAATAATCAAGCGGTTTTTGCCCTTTTTTCTGTTTATATGATAAATTATATTTATTAATTTGTGTATGTTGAACCAGCCTTGCACCCCAGGGATGAAGCTGACTTGATCGTGGTGGATAAGCTTTGTGATGTGCTGCTGGATTTGGTTTGTCAGTATTTTATTGAGGATTTTCACATCGATTTTCATCAGGGATGTTGGCCTAAAATTTTCTTTTCTTGTTCTGTCTCCACCATGTTTTGGTATCAAGATGATGCTGGCCTCATGAAATGAGTTAGTGAGGAGTCCCTCTTTTTCTTTTGTTTGGAATAGTTTCAGAAGGAATGGTACCAGCTCCTCTTTGTACCTCCGGTAGAATTCGGCTGTGAATCTGTCTCATTCTAGGCTCTTTTTAGTTAGCAGGCTATCAATTACTGCCTGAATTTCAGAACTTGTTATTGGTCTATTCAGGCACTCATCTTCTTCCTGGTTTAGTCCTGGGAGGGTGTTTGTGTCCAGGAATTTATCCATTTCTTCCAGATTTTTTAGTTTGGTTACATAGGGCTGTTTATCGTATTTTCTGATGGTAGTTTGTATTTCTATGGGATCAATGGTGATATCCCCTTTATCATTTTTATTGTCTCTATTCGATTCTTCTCTTTTCTTCTTTATTAGTTTAGATAGTGGTCTATGTATTTTGTTAATATTTTCAAAAAACCACCTCCTGGATTCACTGATTTTTTGAAGCGTTTTTTGTGTCTCTATCTCCTTCATTTCTGCTCTGATCTTAGTTACTTCTTGTATTCTGCTGGCTTTTGAATGTGTTTGCTCCTGCTTGTCTAGTTATTTTAATCGTGATATTAGGGTGTCAACTGAGATCTTTCTAGCTTCTGATGTGGGCATTTAGTGCTATAAATTTTCCTGTTATCACTTCTTGATTTCTGCCTTAATTTTATTATTTATCATTCAGTGGAAATATCTTTGAATTTCCATGTAGTTGTGCAGTTTTGAGTGAGTTTCTTAACCCTGAGTTCTAATTTGATTGCACTGTGGTCTGAGGGACTGTTAGTTATGATTTCCATTCTTTTGCATTTGCTGAGGAATGTTTTATTTCCAATTATGTAGTAGATATTAGAATACCTGCCATATGGCACTGAGAAGAATGTATATTCTGTTGATTTGGGGTGGAGAATTCTGTAGGTGTCTGTTAGGTCCACTTGATCCAGAGTTGATTTCAAGTCCTGAATATGCTTGCTAATTTTCTGTTTTGTCGATCTTCCTAATATTGTCAGTGGGGTGTTAAA